>NC_000006.12:9150909-9302424 GCF_000001405.40 Homo sapiens
GAACAAAGTGGCCTTAGTGGCAGGGATGGAGGTTACGCATGGGCTCAGCAACATGGACTTCCACTCACCAAGGCTGACCTGGCTATGGCCACTGCTGAGTGCCCAATTTGCCAGCAGCAGAGACCAACACTGAGCCCTAGATATAGCATCATTCCTCGGGGTGATCAGCCAGCTACCTGGTGGCAGGTTGATTATATTTGACCTCTTCCATCACAGAAAGGGCAGAGGTTTGTACTCACTGGAGTAGATACTTACTCTGGATATTGGTTTGCCTATCCTGCACACAATGCTTCTGCCAAGACTAGCATCTATGGATTCACAGAATGCCTTATCCATTGTCATGGTATTCCACACAGCATTGCCTCTGACCAAGGCACTCTCTTTACAGCTAAAGAAGTGTGGCAGTGGGCTCATGCTCATGGAATTCACTGGTCTTACCATATTCCCCATCATCCTATAGCAGCTGGATTGATAGAATGGTGGAATGGCCTTTTGAAGTCACAATTACAATGCCAACTAGGTGACAATACTTTGCAGGGCTGGGGCAGAGATCTCCAGAAGGCCATGTATTCTCTGAATCAGCGTCTGATATATAGTACTGTTTCTCCCATATCCAGGATTCATGGGTCCAGGAATCAAAGGGTGGAAGTGGAAGTGGCACCACTCACCATCACCCTTAGTGATCTACTAGCAAAATTTTTGCTTCCTGTTGCCATGACATTACGTCCTGCTTGCCTAGAGGTCTTAGTTCCAGAGGGAGGAAGGCTGCCGTCAGGAGACACAACAATGATTCCATTAAACTGGAAGTTGAGATTGCCACCTGGACACTTTAGGCTTCTCCTACCTTTAAGTCAACAGGCTAAGAAAGGAGTTACAGTGTTGACTGGGGTGATTGACCTGGACTGTCAAGATGAAATCAGTCTACTACTACATAACAGAGGTAAGGAAGAGTACTCATGGAATACAGGAGATCCATTAGGGTATCTCTTAGTATTACCATGCCCTGTGATTAAGATCTATGGGAAACTACAAAGGCCCAATCCAGGCAGGACTACAAATGATCCAGACCCTTCAGGAATGAAGGTTTGGGTCACTCCACTAGGAAAAAAGCCACGATCTGCTGAGGTGCTTGCTGAAGGCAAAGGGAATACAGAATAGATAGTAGAAGTCATCAATGCCAGCTATGACCACATGGCCAGCTGCAGAAATGAGAACTGTAATTGTCATGAGTATTTCCTCCTTGTTTTGTTAAAAATATGTTCGTGCATGCATACACTTGTACTAAGAAAATATCTTCATTTTATTTCCTTTTTATCACGTGACATAAGATTTATTGACTTCATATCAGCATTTAAGTATTGTTAACTTTATGTAATAGTATTTGGGTTGGGGATTGGTACATTTCTGGTTGTATGAAGGATAGTTATGTTAGGCATAATTATGACCTTATTATTGGCTTTACTTGAAGACTATGGATGATCTCAGGAGATGTGTATGGGTTCAAGTTGACAAGGCGTGGACTTAAGATGGTTAATACTGATTGTCACCTTGATTGGATTGAAGGATGCAGTATTGATTCTGGGTATTTCCGTGAGGGTGTTGCCAAAGGAGATTAACATTTAAGTCAGTGGGCTGGGAGGGCAGACCCATCCTTAACTGAGTGGGCACCATCCAATCAGCCGCCACCAAATATAAAGCAGGCTGAAAAATGTGAAGCGGCAAGACTGGCCTAGCCTCTCAGCCTACATCTTTCTCCCATGCTGGTTGCTTCCTGCCCTGGAATATCAGACTCCAAGTTCTTCAGTTTTGGGACTCAGACTGGCTCTCGTTTCTTCTCAGCTTGCAGACAGCCTATTGTGGGACCTTGTGATCATGTAAGTTAATACTTAATAAACTCATATATATATATGAGTTTATAATGATGTATATATCTTATATATATATTGACTTCATATCAGCATTTAAGTATTGTTATACTTAATAATACTTAATAAACTCATATATATGACTTTATATATGATATATATATCTTATATACATATATTGACTTCATATCAGCATTTAAGTATTAAGATAAGATATATATGTATATATATATATCTTTCCTATTAGTTCTGTCCCTCCAGAGAACCCTGACTAATACAGTATGCAAATAAGCAGAAAACTATTAATATGACTCATAAAGAGGGAGTAAAATTAGTCAATAAAATCAAACCAGGGTTTGGCAGTAATAATCAAAGCAGCAGACAAGGACATTAAAATGAATCTTGTGAATAGTTCAAAAAGGTTGAGGAAAACATGACTATGGTGAAGAGAGAAATGGGAGATGGAAAAATTACTCAAATGAAACTTCTAGATATGGCAAAAATTATATATGAAATGGAAAACACTGCAAGAGAGGAACAGCATATTAAGGCACTGTAGAGAAAAAGACATGGGAGTAGAAATTACTCAAATGAAGGAGAGAGGGAGAGAGACAGAAAAAGAGAAGGAGAGATGGAGTGAAACTAAAAGTCCCCCAAAGCATTGGTAATCTGTATGACATTAGCAGGGAACCTAATGTGCGTATCTAGAGTACCAGAATAAGAGAAGAGAGGAGGGGGGGCAAAACAATATTTAAAAGATAATGACCAAAAATGTTCCAAATTTAGTGAAAACTGCAAACCTGCAAATCAAAGAATCTCAAAAATTCTTAAGCATAATAGACATAAATAAAAATACACGGCCAGGTGCGGTGGCTCCAGCCTGTAATCCCAGCACTTTGGGAGGCCAAGGCAGGCAGATCGCCTGAGGTCAGGAGTTTGAGACCAGCCTGGCCAACATGGTGAAACCCTGTCTCTGTTAAAAATACAAAAATTAGCTGAGTGTCATGGAGGGCACCTGTAATCCCAGCTACTTGGGAAGCTGAGACAGGAGAATCGCTTGAACCTGGGAGGCGGATGTTGCAGTGAGCCGAGATCAGGTCACTGCACTCCAGCCTGGGCAACCAGAACAAGACTCCATCTCAAAAAACAAAAACAAAAACAAAAGAAAAATACACCAAGGCACAATGAATCAATTTTTCAAAAAACACAGAAAACAAAAGAAGTTACCAGTGGCATAAGAATAAAGATATAGTGTGTGCAGAGGAACACAGATAAGAAAAGGAGATTTTGCTTGAAATTATGCAAACCAGAAAGTAGAGCCATTTTTATTTTAGGGGTTATATTATTAACTTAGATTACTTTATCCAGAAAGAAAAATATCTTTCAAAACTGAATGGGAAATAAAGACTTTTTCAGGCATACAAAAGGTGAAAGAAATCATTGCCAGACTCCCTACACTACAAGAAATGTTAAAGGAAGTTCTTTATGGGAAAGGATAATAGAAGTTTGGATCAGAAGAAAATGGAAAGCATCAGCAATGATAAATATATGGATGACTATAAAATTTTTAAATTTATTATACCTTTAAGCAATAATTGACTACACAAAAATAACATAGAGTAAGGGTGGAAGAACAGGAGGGAACAAAATGCATGACAACAATACCATGAAAGATACATGCGGTGGTACAATATTATTTGAAGGTAAATTGTGTTAAGTTAAAGATACATATTATAAGACAGCAAACATGAAGAAAACGTATGAAATTGAAATTTTATGAAGTATGTTTTCTGATCACAATAGAATTAAAATTAAATAAGAAATCAATAATAACAACAAACTGAGATATGTATAAATTAGCACACTTCTAAGTAACCCAAGAATTATATAAGGTATCGAATAAAAACACAGCAATTAAAAAAATTAACAACATTGTGGGCTGCAGCTAAAAAGGTATATCATTTTAACACCTTTAGATTTATTGTTCAAGTTCTGGTGTTGCTTATTACATTATGGATTCTTGTGTCTTTCTTTTGGAGAACAATATTCAGAAACCAAGGTATAGATGCTAGATAAAGTCATTGCTAATGGGATGTTATTATGTATAGGTCCCTCAGTGAACAGAGCTAAGAAATTAATAACATAGATATATACATACAACATACATACATTTGTGTAGATGTATACTTCACCATATACATAGCCATATGCGTATATATCTGTATCCATTTATCTATCATATGTCTACATTAAAATCCATGCTTTCACACTGATGCTTTAGTTTCAGTAACTTCCCATTTAATTTCTTACTCCTTATTTTGAAAGTCAGAAAACTGGCTCTCACTATCCACAGTATATTTATTTATATGCTTAGTCCTAGAATACACATAAAGTCATTTCAGAATTGCTAATCCACAACTCTGTGAAAAATAAATCTGCTACTAATAATTTATTATTTGTTCACAGTTCTTTTTGCCTTTAGCGTGAGGACATGGTCCAAATACTGTATTAAGTTGAAAAAAGTTACTTTGGTTAGACTGTCCTCCCACTCCCTTAATTGTGGTAATATTATTAATTTGAAATATAGTTCAGTTCATTTATTTCTGTTTGTACAAAATTTTAGGATTTTTTCCCATATTTGTCTGCCAAGAATTCTGAAGGATCTGAAATTTTACCCTACTTGCAAGCTAATAAATTATCTTTTTATTATCCAAAAAAAAAAAAATCTTTCAAAACTGAATGGGAAATAAAGACTTTTTCAGGCATACAAAAGGTGAAAGAAATCATTGCCAGACTCCCTACACTACAAGAAATGTTAAAGGAAGTTCTTTATGGGATGTCATTTATTGGATGGTAGTGGAATAAACAACAGTCTTGGTTCCAAAAAAAGAAAGAAAAAGAAAGAAGGAAAGAAGGAAGGAAAGGGAAGGGAAGGGAGGGGAGGGGAGGGGAGGGAGGGAGAGAGAGAAAAAGAGAGAGAGATACAGAAAGAAAGAAAGAAGGAAAGAAAGAAAAAAGAAAGAAAGAAAAATTCACCACTCACAGTGTGGCAAGAAAGTTGAGCATCATGTTTGAGTCAGTTCTCCGAATTCTCCAAGTCACATGCAGCAATGCAGAGGGAACCTGGTGGCTGCTGCACACGTGGTGGGTTTGCATTACAGCTAAGAAACCTTGAGCCTTGAAAAGTTGAGCCTTTTTTAGTGGGTTACAAGCAAACATGCCTGAATTTAGCTGTGAAATAAGACATTATTTTTGTTACATTGTCTTCTAAGGCCATTTGATATACAGACATCCAGAACAAAAGGACCATTATTACATCTGCTCTCAAGATGTGCAGAAATGTGGAGATCTTTTGAGAATTGTCTCTCAACAATAGCTACCCCTCATTTTTACAAGCTTTGCCTTCTGGCAAATGTACACACGACTGTACCACTCCAGCAGCCATTCTGATTAATCTAACCCGTGGAAGCTAGAACCAAATCCATTCAGTTATCTCATACCTTATTTAATTAAGGCTATAATCAACAGAAGGATGAGGCCACCCTGAAGCATTGACTTCAGCCATACTCTGGAGGGTCCAGACCCTGTCAATTGAATGAATCCCATGACCCATCAGTGTCCATGTTTAAGTCAGGTGAATTTCTCTTTACATTCCTGTACTGACTTTTCCACTTGAACCAAAGGTTTCCACTTGAACCAGGTAAAGCAGAATGTATTAGCAATTTCACAGACTCCACCTTGATGGATGAGGAATTACCGGCCAATGCTATCATCAGTAACAGCCGTGGTCTTTGAGTTGAGGCTGACCTCTATACCTTGCAGGGATGAGGTGTTATAATTGATCTCTTCAGCTAATGAACAAGTTTCGTCCTATCTATTCTAATGAGATAACTCCAACTGGAAGGAAATTGTCCACAGAATAAACATAAATAATAAATCAGTTGTATTCCAAGAAGTATCCTAAGTAACAAGGGTAATTTGGGTAAGGTGAATTTGGAGAAAATTCTGTAAAACTAATATGTATTATAATAAAAGTACATATGCATATGTTCCGATTCATATATATTATATTCATATTCATATTAAGAAAATGGTCTTTAATTACTATTTTTAAAATTATTTCATAAGTAGATCTTGAAATTTGTAAAAGTTTCTCAGCATCTATAGAAATAATCATATTATTTTTCTCCTTAAGTGTATTAATATGCTTGATTATAATAATGTACTTACTAATGATGTATCAACCTTCATTCTTGGAAATCCATTTACATATAATGTAATAGCTGATGCTGTTGAATTTCAACATATACCATTTTGCTATTTGTATTATTTTTTGTCTCATCCCTTTTTTGTTGTTATTGTTCTTCCTGTGTTCCTAGTTTCCTCTCTAATTTGAAGCAAATAAAAATCTTTTCATTCAATTTTATTTTTATATTACTTTTTGAGTTATATTTCTGCCTTTTTTAGTTGTTCATTTTTATACTACAACATATATCTTTAACTCTCTCTCTTCTCCTTTTGGGACTTCACTTGATATTGTCACTGAAGTCCATTAAATTTTAAATCGTTTTTAATCTGTGTTTTCACGTTGGGTTATTTTTATTCATGTGTGTCCACTCACTGACAACTTTTCCTTTTTGCTCTAATCTGCTGTTAATTCCATGCAATACATATTTTCAAATTAAAGGCATTTTTTATTAAAGGCATTTTTTATTAAGGCATTATAATTTCCATTATAGATTTTTCACCTTTATCATTTTTAATAGTTTCAATTTATTTGGTGACACTCCATCTGTTCATTCATTATGACAATGTTTTTCTTAAAGTTCCTGAATATACTTATAATATCTATTTTAACATTCTTGTCTTCTAATTTTACTATGTAGATCATCTTGGGGCCTTTTCTGTTAATCCTTTTTCATCTTGACTATGAATAATATTTAATATTCCTTCATTCTCTGGTAACTTTTATTTTAGGCTGGAGATTGTAATAATCCAAGAAGTTTGGATTATAATGTTTCCATTTAAAGAGTGTAGAATTTTGTTTTGGTAGGCAACTAAATTATTGCACAATTACTTAATACCTGTTGTCTATTTTGTATTTTTATTTTTTAGAGTGGATCTATTTTAAGCTTTAGCTTAGTTCTACAGCATGCCGCTTATAGATTATGGCTCTTACTTCTTAGGCATGGCTTTTTTTGTCTCAACAGATTATTCATGATGCTTGTTGGGATCTTTGCTCTGGAACGGGTAGAATTTCAAAATCTCCCAGCTCTGCATAATCTCTGGTATCATTCTGAGATCTCTTCTAGGCCTTGTGGAAGTTTGTCATATGAGCTCTCAGCCATGTGAATCCCCATGCAGATTTCTAGGGGCTTCTGTCTTCATAGTCGCCTTTTCTAAAGTCCTCATGGTCCAAGTTCTAACCACTTCAGCAGTCTACAACTCTGACATCTGTCTCTTCAATTCAGTAAAGTTGCCGCTAGCTTGGACTCCTCTTCTGTGTTCTGTGGCAGGAGAATTACCCTATGCAGAAACTTGGGGTGATGGTGGGTTTGTTCAGGGGCTCAGATCACTTACTTACCTTGTTCTCAATTATCACAGACCCAAGATGCTTGTTGTACAGTGTCTGAAAAGAGATGTCTTTTCTCTACTGTATTTTATCCACTTCGGCTGTTTTTGGTGTGAGGCATGTCCAGTACCAGTTACTCAGTCATGGACAGAAGTGGAACTCACATGGTTCTCTTCAACGAAAGAGCAACAGATGACAAAATAACTAGTTTATTTTGACTAATTGATGTGAAATCTTGGGCAACTTGCTTATTCTTTACCTCAATTTTGCACACAGAAAGAAGAATTTGATGTATGATAGCTGAAGCCACCTTCTAACTTTAAGATTTAGGATTTAACAATATTTGTCAACCTTGTATTAAAAGTATAGAAAAAATTTATAAAATTAGTGTAATGAGACATATTGCAAAGATTGTTTATTTTAGTTACAAAAATGTGAGTTGTTTTGGACAATGCTATTTATTTTATAGTTTAAAACCATTAATTAAATGGAGATCGACTGGTGGATA
Source organism: Homo sapiens (assembly GCF_000001405.40). Taxonomy (NCBI): domain Eukaryota; kingdom Metazoa; phylum Chordata; class Mammalia; order Primates; family Hominidae; genus Homo; species Homo sapiens. The sequence goes on from NC_000006.12 coordinate 9,158,855, forward strand.
TCTTCCCTTAGATTAAAAAACATATCAGAATAATTGGGTGAATAGAATCTACTGCTATTAATATAACATCCATCAGTTATGCTGGGATAGGAAAAACAATTCAATATGATTATATGAAACAACTTCAAAATAAGAATTTTCATCTAATCATGAAGTTAGAGTGATTCAAATAGTATCATGAGTCACTACAGAGTTCTATTAATTATATTGCTTGGCAATATAATTTGATATTTCTTGAAGTTGTGTGTTCTAACTATATTGTTATTCATTGAGATAAAGCTGGCCATTTCCTTGTTTTGGGTAGTAGCATTCTGAAAATTCTCAGTGTAGTCTTGTGATTTCTGGTCTCCTCGAGAATAGAATTTCATGTGATCATACCACTATCCGTGTCTGTTGACAGTTACAGTAATGATACGTCAACATTTTATGAATAGTTAGCTTTGAAAAATACTCATATGCCAAGATGTGGATTTTTTAAACAATTCAATATGCTGCCATCTGACAGCAACATAGACCTTTGTAGAAAAATGTTTTCTTTCTTCTGTACTGACCTATAGTGAAAGGAAGATTTTACCAATATGGAATTTCTGATAACTGACACCTTACTCACAGAAATAGAAAGCTATTTAGCTTTCTTTCTTTCTTTCTTTCTCTTTCTTTCTTTCTTTCTTTCTCTCTTTCTTTCTTTCTTTCTCTTTCTCTCTCTTTCAAATACTTGGTTGCTGGAATTCAATGATGAATTATAGTTCATTCTTAACTTAGGGCTTTGAAATCTGTTCAGTCCTAAAGACCAGAATTTAAGACTTTAAAACCTTTCAACAAAGTTGAATTATAATCCATTCTTGATTTAGGGTTTTGGAAACCTTTAACAAAGACCTAGATTTCAGACTTTGAAACTTTTTAACAAAATTACTTACCATAGCAATTGTTATTCTCTTGTATCTATTATTGGCATTTTTAGAAATTTTCACCATCATTTCTGGAACTGAATAATAGCAGTAACGTTTTTTCTATTTGGATTCTCTTTCTAAAATTACATTTACTATTATAGCTTGGTGTCTGCCAGAGCCGTAATTAAGTACCATTTGTGAGTATAACAATCCCTTTTTTCAATCTTATTTAGCTTTCTATTTATTCTTTGACTATTACTTTTATTTTGAATGACAGGAAAGGGAAAATGTGTGGCCTAATTAACAAAATGTTACCAGCTATTCTTGGCTATACATGGGCAAAGATACTGAATCTAACAGTTAAACTGCAGACTACTGAGTGTTCTGTTCTTTTTTCTCAGACTATATCTATTCTTGATGAGATGAATATAGGCTGTTTATATATTGAAATTATGTAAATCCTCAGATCCTACCCAAATGGTGCGTAGCTCTTTCTCTTAAAAAGTAATTCTTCCTCTCAAAAGAAGACATTTATGTGGGCAACAAACATATGAAAAAAAGCTCATCATCACTGGTCATTAGAGAAATGCAAATCAAAGCCACAATGAGATACCATCTCATGCCAGTTAGAATGGCGATTATTAGAAAGTCAGGAAACAACAGATGCTGGAGAGGATGTAGAGAAAAAGGAACGCTTTTACACTGTTGGTGGGTGTATAAATTAGTTCAACCATTGTGGAAGACAGTGTGGTGATTCCTCAAGGATCTAGAACCAGAAATACCATTTGACCCAGTAATCCCATTACTGGGTATATACCCAAAGGATTATAAATCATTCTACTATAAAGACACATACACACATATGTTTATTCCAGCACTATTCACAATAGCAAAGACTTGGAACCAACCCAAATGTCCATTAATGATAGACTGGATAAAGAAAATGTGGCACATATATACCATAGAATACTATGCAGCCATAAAAAAGGATGAGTTCATGTCCTTTGCAGGGACATGGATGAAGCTGGAAACCAGCAAACTAACATAGGAACAGAAAACCAAACACTGCATGTTCTCACTCATAAGTGGGAGTTGAAGAATGAGAACACAGGGACACAGGGAGGGGAACATCACACACTGGGGCCTGTTGGTGGGTGGGGGCTAGGAAAGGGATAGCATTAGGAGAAATACCTAATGTAGATGACAGGTTGATGGGTGCAGCAAACCACCATGGCATGTGTATACATATGTAACAAATCTACACGTTCTGCACATGTATCCCAGAACTTAAAGTATAATAGAAAAGTAATCTTTCCTATCATTTCCCAGATCTCTCACTTCTGAATTCCCATTTTACTCATAATCAGTAATTTATAGTTGATACTTGCTATAAGGCTGTCTGAGATCATTTAATTTGTTCTATGCCATACATTCTTCTTAAAAAATCAAAGAATGTATTTTTTTTATCTTCTGTATTTGATAAAACATTTTGGGAGCTTTGAGCTTCTGCTTAGGATATAGAAAGCTGGAAAGCTTTGCTCCCAGAATTATAACCAAAAGAATCAGCAGAGTGTGGTGGCTCATGCCTGTAATCCCAGCTACTTGGGAGGCTGAGGCAGGAGTATTGCTTGAGCCCAGGAGTTCAACATAGCAAGACCCCATCTCCAAAATAAAAAAATAAATAAATAAATAAGCCAGGCCTGGTGCTGCACACTTGTAGTCCCAGCTACTCTGGAGGCTGAGATGGGAGGATCACTTGAACCCTGGAGTTCAAGGCTGCAGTAAACTATGATCACGCCATGTACTCCAGCCAGGGCAACAGAACAAGAACCCCTCCAAAAAAAAAGCTGATAATTTGAAAAATCACAACTTTTCTTGAATTCATCAGAGAGCTGAGATCACCGGGCAAAAACTAACTTAAAATATCTAATGATAGATGGGCTTCCCTAAGGAGAGAGAGGGTTAAATCCTTGCTTACCTGAGGATGATGCTATTCAACAGTTAAGTCAGCAGAAAAACTCAGCTAATCTTTCTAATAAATTACTAAAGACTATGTGTGGGATAGTGTGAGCAAATAAAATCTCTAGGGCTGCTGCTCCAAAGGAATTCACAGCCCCTAGCAAGTTCTCCACAGATCTCACTGTGCTCATGAGCAACATTAGCAGCAGGGGAAAATCTCAACAAGGCCTCCTTTGTTGGAAGGAGGGGAACATTACTCACTGTAGGAAAGGCATCAAGTCTCACCCAGACTTTCTACTTCATCACCCATATGGAACAAAAGACTTAAACTGCATGAGAAAGGGCAAAAATCTTGTCTCCTTGAGACCAATGTGGAAGCATATGTGTGCAGGTAGGGACAGAGAAAAAGAAAGACAAGAAAGAGAGACAAAAACCCTTTACCTGTAGGAAAAGAGGTCCCTGTCCCTAGGAAAGGGGCAGGAATATGTCCTGGGCCTAGACAGTCAGAGATCCCTTACTTCTGGAGACAATGCAAAATCACTGAGAAGGCCCTGGAGAAGACTGGTGGTTAAAAGCAAAGGAGAAAATGTTCCTTATCTCCTTTTCCCAGGCTAGCAACATGGAGTAACAAATACTGCTCAAAGAGACTCAAGAATGTAAAAAAAGACCTTATCTGAGACACAGATACAAGGCAGAGATACAACAGTGAGAAAAACATTTCAGCATACCAGCCCTACCTGGCATAGAATTTAATACTGGAAGAATCAAAGACTGAGGTTCACTGAGCCTTACAACAGTAACGAGAAAACTAAATTTAGTTCAATTCCTGATACATTCACCCTCCTATATTAAAACCAGAGCAAAGAAAGAAAGAGAGAGTGAGAATGAACAAGAGACGAAAAAGAAACAAAGAAAGAAGGAAGAAAGAGAAACAGAGAGTGAAAAAAAGAGAGAGAAAGAAGGAAAATAGAAAGAAAAAGAAAGGAGAATGAAAAAAAGAAAGAAGAAAGAAAAAGAATGAAAGAAAAAAGGAAGGAAGGCAGGAAAGAAAGGAAGAAAGAGGGAGGGAGGGGAAAGAGAGAGAAGAAGGAGGGAGGGGAAAGAAAAAGAGAAAGAGAAAAGGGAAAAAGAAAGGAGAGAATGAAAAAGAGAAGAAAGAAAAGAAAGAAAGGAAGGAAGGAGAAAGAGGGAGGGAGGGAGAGAGAGAGAGAAAGAAAGAAAAAAGAAAGAAAAAGAGAAAGAAAAAAAGACAGATGTATGTTCATTGTTCATTTCAGGGAATAAATGCTAATTACATCAATCTCATTGTCTTACATAATATGCCAGATTTCAATGAAATATTATAAGATGGCCAAAGCAGCAAGAAAAAAAATACTCTGTCAAGAGACAAAGCAATCAAAAGAATCAAATTCAGATATAACACAGTTGTTGGAAATACCAGAGAAGAAATTTAATAATGCTAAAGTCTCTAGTGAAGAAGGTAGAAAGCATGCCTGTTCAGATGGCGAATTCAGCAGATTGATGAAACCTAAGAGCAAGAAAATAATGAAAATTCAGTAAAGAAATAACAATAATGTTTTCAGTGGGCTAAACAGTAGATTCAACATAGCTGAGAAAATGATTAATAAACTTCAAGATAGATCAATAAAAATTACACACATTCAAACACAAAGAAAAACAGTAAAAAACGCAAGAACCAAACAGATTTCAAGAGATGTCAGGCAATATCAAATGATCCAATGTGTGTGTATAAAGAATCGCTGAAGGAGGAAAGAGAAAGTATGTCACAGAATAGGTTTTGAAGAGATAATGGTGAGTATTCTCAAAAATTAAATTAAAATACCGAATTCCATATCCAAAAAGCTCAGAGAGTGATAAGCAACATAAATCAAATAACAAAACAAAACAAAACACAGAAGAAAGAAGAGAGGGAGAAAAAGGGAAGGGGAGGAAAAGAAAGGGAGAGAGAGTTTCAAATTGTTGGAAATAGATTAATAAAGGAAAAAACTCACATTACATAAAAGTAATAAAGATAAGAATTCAAGCAATTTTTTTAAAAAAACTAGGCAGAGAATACAATGGAGTGATATCTTTGTAGAAAGAAAATGACTGTCAACCTAGAATTCTATATCCAGTGAAATTATTTTCAAAATAAAGATATAAAGATCTTTTCAGAAAAAAATAATTGAATATGTACCTGGTTTAAGGAAAATATTAATGGAAGTTCTTCAGGCAGAAGATAGGACAGCAGTCAAGATTTCAGATCTACACAAAGTGATAAAGAGACAAGGAAAGGATATATATAAAGTTCATATTTTTCTTACTTTTAGATGATGTGAATCTAACTGAATTCTATAGCAAAAGTATTATCAATGCCATTTGGCATATGTAGAAATAAAATGAATGACAAAAATGGCACTAAAGATAGAAGGGAGTCCTTCATTGTAAGATCTATACAATATACATAAAGTAATATATTATTATAAGATAGACTGTGATTAATTAAGAATGCATATGTAGACTCAGGCTAAGCCACTAGAAATTTTTTGTAATATTTAAACGAAATAAGCCAGCACTGGAGATAAACTAGAATCTCCAAAAAAAAATTAATAAAAAAGAAGCAAAAAAAAAAAAAAAAGAAAAGAACTAAGGATGTGATGAAACAAACAGAATATGCCTAACAAGATATTATATTTTATTTCAATGATATCAATAAATACCTTATTTAAATGGCCTAGATTATCATATTGCATGAAAAAACAACTATATACTGTTTAAAAGAAAACATATATGTATATACGTATACATGCACATGTGAAATATAGTATAGAAATGTAAAAAATGTAAAAGAACAGAAAAGGTAAAACCATGCAAACATGAATCAAAAGAGTGTTGAAATGTTGAGTATATTAATATCAGATAAATTAGACCTCAGAACAAGAAATATCATCAAGGATAAATAGAAACATTGCATAATAATAAAAATTCAAATAGCCAGTAAAAAGGAAAGCTCATTAATGTGTATGCATCTAACAACAGAACTTCGAAAGAATTTAAAAAATGTTAGAATTAAAAGAATAGGCAAATCCACAGTAGTATTTGCAGCTTTCAACAATCCTCCTTAAGTATTCAATAAAAGAAGAAAACAGGCAATTAGTAAAGATGTACAGGACTCAAACAGTAACAACCAGTTTGACCTTTATAGGACACTCCACCTAACAATGGCAGAATGCTCATTCTTTTCAAGTGCATATGGACTATTGAGTAAAACATACTATATCCTAGTCCATAAGACTTTGTCAAAATAAAATAATTCAACTCATGCAAAGCGTATTTTCTTACCAGAACATAATTGAAATAGAAACAAACAGCAGAAAGATATTTGGAAGCATTCTCAAATATTTGGAGATTAAACAACACTTTTTTTTTAAGCCCCTAGATCAAAAAGAGAATCACAATGGAAATTAAGAAAAAAAAAAAGCGAATGAAATGAAAACACAGCATATCTGGGATGCAGTTAATGCAGTGTTTACAAGGAAATTTATAGCAATAAGTGCTTATATTAGAGAAGAAAGGATTCAAGTCACATATATAAACATTACCTTAACAAAATTAAAAATTGATAGTAAATTTAACCCAATGAAAATAGAAGGGAAAAATTAATGAAGACTAGAGCAGAAACCAGTAAGACTGACAACAGAAAAATAAAAAATAAAATTAAAAGTTTGTTCTTTGAAAAGACAAAAGGATAAGCCTATAGTCAAAACTTGGTATCAAGTTTTGATATTTCTTCATATCAGGAAAATCCAAGGTAAGACAAAAATTCCAAACATCTGAAACAAAAAATAAGGACATCAGTACGGATCATACAGTAATTGAAATACTAATAAGGAAATTATATGAACAACATGATGTTCATACATTTAACAATTGAGATTCCATGGACAATATTTAACACCCATTCATAATAAAAAGCCTCAGCAAAATAGGAAGAGAAGTGACCTTACCTGGTAGAAGCAATCTATGGAAAGCCTACAACTAATGTCATTCTTTATGGCAAAAGATTGAGTATTTTACTTAAGAATGAAAACAAAGCATACATGTTCACTCACCCCCTGACAATTTACTATTATACTGATGTTCTTAGGTAATGTAATGAAAAAAAAGGCATAAAAATTACACAGATTGGAAATGAAGAAATAAAACTGTAATTGTAGAAAACATAATTTTCTGTGTAGGTAATTTCAAAGAATATTTTAAAACCTATTCTAACAAAAGAGTTTAACAAGATCACAACATACAAGGCTGATCTACAAAAATCAATTAGTTTTCTATATGTGAGCAATGAAAAATTGAAATACAGAAGAAATTGAAAACCATTTACAATAGAACTAAAAATGTCAGATAGCAATAAAACAGGAAATAGATCCAACCATACATGGTCAATTGATTCTTAACAATGTTGCAATGACAACATAATGTACAAACAATATGTTTTGCAACAGACGGTGCTGAAAATTTTGATACACATATGCAGAGAATAAAAGAAATATAGCACAAACTTCACAACCTATATAAAGATTAACTCAAGATTGGACCACAGACCTAATTGTAAAATGTAAAACTATAAAATGTTTAGAAGGAAATATTAGAGAGTACCTCTGTGATCTTGCATTGTACAAAAATCTCTTAAATATGACACTAAAAACATGATCTGTTAAAATTTTGATAAGTTGATTTTCATCAACATTACAAATTTGTGTTCTGCAGAAACACTGTAAAGAGAATGAGAAGACAAGCACATACTGAGCAACAACATTTACAAGTCACATATCTGATCAATAACTTGTATTCATAATATATAAAGAACTCTCACAACTCAGTAAAAAGAAAACAAACAACTCAATAATAAATGGAAAAAATACCTGAACAGACACTTCATCAGAGTTATAGGGATGGTAAACAAGCATGTAATAGGTGTTCAACTTTTTTTTAATTGTAGAAATGCAAACTAAAGACAAAATGGGATACTGCTATGCACCTACTAGAATGCTAGAATAAAAAAATTGATAATAAAAAGCTTTGCCAAGGATGTGGAGCAACTAAAACTCTTACGTAGTTGTGATGAGAATAAAACTTATTGCAGCCACTTAGGAAACTGTTCTGTCATTTTTTCTAAAGTTAATGCACTCTTAATATATGATGCTGCAATTGCACACATTTCTAGATATTTATCCAAATGCAGTGAAAACCAATGTTCACACAAAAACTGGTATATGAATGGTTAGATGAGTGTTGTCCATAATTGCCATGAAGTGGAAATCGTCAATGTATCATTCAACTTAGAAATGGATAAACAAACAGTGGTAGATCCATACAATTGAATGATACTGAGCTGTAAATAAAAAGGGAATAAGCTATTGTTAGATACAAGAAAATGGATGGCCCTAAAATGCATCATTTTAAGTAAAAGAAGCCAGATTGAAAAGGCTGAAGACTGTATGTTTTATATAACCTTTTAGATAAAGTGAGAAAAAACAAATCAGACAAGCAGTGAAAGTGATGAGAAAAGCATCACTGATACGTAGGAAATAATCTCCATAGAATCTAATGATGAAATAGATAGGGATTTGGGAAAGAAAGTCATTATGAATGGTTTATCAGAGTCCATTTTGCCAAATCAGATGGATATCATTCACTGGGACACTGGTCTGTTGGTGGAAGTCCATGTTTGTCCGGCAGGATCACGTTGTCATTAATTTATTCATTCATGCTAAACACCATATATACCAGAAACTGCTGTACATGATTTTCTGAAATTCAAAGAGTGTATTCTAATAGGGCTTTCTTCATATCTGATTTGATTACCTCCCCTTTTATGTTTCCCAAAATGCTACTTAAACCCATGATTAAATTATTGTGTAGTAATACATTTGTATCCAAAGTAGATTCAAATCCCTTTTAAAAACGTATGATTTATTTCAGAGGACAACCTCCCTTTTCAGGCTTTGTTTAAACAATTGTGTGAACTAAACAATGTCTTACATATGGCATAATTCAAAAGGGTCTGGACCAAGTTCAGTGGAACTGGAACATAATGGTGGTGGTTTAACTCATTTAAGCATGTATGATTCTAGTTATTATTCAACAGGAACTGACATTTTAATCCATGATACGTTACAAATTTTTAAGAATTTTATTTGTAGACAAATGCACATTAATGACTTATAGAATAACATCGAGGTAACATCTGGTATTTTGTTTCATCCATCCATCTGCTTCTTCAGTTCTGTCATAGACACCTTTCTTCTTATTACTTTCAAGCACAACCTTAGATACAGTCAACAGCTGGAGGTATGGTCTCTCTTATCTCCTTGCATATAATCTCATTCATCCTCAATTCAAAACAAGCGTATGTGTGTGTATGTATGTATGTGTGTATATATAGGTATGTGTGTGTATGTATATTATATGTATATGTGTGTGTACATATATGCTTATATTTATATATTATTATATCTGTATACAGCGACACTAAAGTTAATTGCAAAAACTGCATTATTATTTGTAAATAGGTAATCTTTTTTGGAGGGCAGTGGGGAATAGAAAAAAGAAGCATCTTCCACCAGCTTTATTGATTGCATGCTTCTGAGTTTGCATACTATCTCCCCAATTCTCTCTCATTCTGACTTACTTTTCAGTTATGAGTCTGCTGTAGTAGTCTACTCCCCAAACGCAAGGCAAGGATATGGACCATTTCCTTGTTGGGCTGCTTTTTACAAATTATTACATCTCTAGAGAAAAATATACTTTGTAAAACTCTGTTGGCATGAACTCAATTGGTGCTGAGTACAATGATAGGAAGAGAATATGTGTAGCTACCACATACAGACACCAAAAACAGAGGTACCCCCCGCAAAATAACTTACTTCCTCAAAAGGCCAGCACCACCAAACCCCAATTCACACCTCTCCTATACTCATTCTGCACTCACACAGATCTCCTATGTCTTTCTGTCCATAAAATAAACTGAGGGAAAGAGCAGGATGAATCTGGCAGATGTATTGTGATGGGGGGCATTTGCCATGATAATTAAGTTCATTATTCCTTTGAGGTGAGTGTAAGAAAGAGAAAAGATTTGACCTGATTTATTAGTCATATATTAGTCATACCTTCTTTAAAATCCTGTAGCAGTGTCATATTACTTATAGATGTTATTTCCATTCCAAAATTATACCGCTCAATGCCAGCAATCTTTTTCATCATCATATCACAGCACCCACATATCAACCAATCCTATTTGGATCCTGATTCAAATAAACTGGAAAACAAAACCACTTACAATATCCATAGACAATTTGAAAATTTGAGCAATGAGTTGATATTTGATAATATTAAGAATTATTACTGTTTTAGAGGTGGTTTGTAATTTGGGATTATGTTATAAAAGATCTTTATCTTTCAGAGATACATATTGAACTATTTAAAGATGAAAAATAATGTCTAGAATTTGCTTCCAAATAATACAGGGCATGGATGCAGATATGGATGAAACAAGATTGGCCATAAGCTTTTAATTATTGGAGCTGGGTGATAGGATCATAGTGATACATTATACTATTCTTTATATGGATTTGAATTGCTTCATAATAAAAATAAAACTGATCAAAATGGCCACTTATTGAGTATGTATTTTATGGTAATAGCTTTAAATGTATTATCCCATTTAATCCTGACAACAAGTAGACTGGTATTTATTATTAGTTCCATGTGATAGCTGAAATTGCTTAAGTCAAGAGGGCAAGAGTCAAAAGACTTGAGGCACATAGCTGGTAAAGGGTAGTAGCTCAAGGCCCATCTGATTCCAAAGGCTGTATTCTTTCTGGTATACCAGACCATGAAAAACTCTGAACCCTTTCCTTAGAAAAAGAGTACCCTTTTCTTCTATTCACACACATTGACATTGCCCTTTGATTTGCATTCAGACACTTTTTACCTGCCTGATGTGATTTTCAGATCTGTATTTTAAAACTTCTGCAATTATAAAATGTTAGAATAGCTAGTTTCATTAGCAAGTATGATCAAATTGCTAACTAGAATTGAGATTTTCCTTTTCTCCTAACCTTCTGTTCTGCATAGGTTGGATAAAATAAAAGGTATTGAGAGAGCAGTGTTGCTTGCGTGCCATTTTTCACTTCTTAATTAGTGCCATGCAGTTATGGCTACAAATATAGGGTCGCTTGGCCAACTTTGAAAGACAACTTTAGCTACTACCTGCTTTGTGCTGATTAGTCTGTCCGCTGTTATTGCACCTTATGTCTGAGCAATTTGCAGCAAAATCCTATGGCTTGTTTCCTAATGCCTTTCAAGGGGATGCAGTGTGCTGCAGAGGAAAGAACACTCAATAGAGAGGGGGCAAGACCTGACCCTCTACTGTTTCTTAAGTACTTTACCTGGGGCAAGACAATTTAATGCATCTCTGTTTCATTTTGCACAGCTATGAAATAAAGAGCTTGGTTGTAACTACAGATTCCCTTTCAGCTCTATTTTTTTTCTCTTGTGGTTCTCTTACCTCATTGTACCTTGTAGTAAATGCTTCTTTATCCTCCTGTCCTCCATTCTCTGTGTTAGTCCCCAAATTACTTGATTATCTATATAAGGACCAATTTAAATAGGTACAAATGAAGAAAGAACTTGTGATTAACTTTTGCTTGCAACAGAAGTTTTACACTGGAGTGATAGCATAGCCTATTGCTGCAGAAAAGACAAAGGGACAAAATAATGTGTGTGCTCTGCAAGATGGATTCTGACATGTAAGCTTGAGAAGTCTGATTAGCAGTGCAGTTTTCAGGTTGTTATCAGCATTTGATGCATTTCTTAAGCATTTATGAATAGATTTGTTCAGAAAGATGGTTTGTTTATGTGTTGTTCAAGCAAGGACATAATGGCAAAATCACTGCATCATCTCCTATTACCAATTCCTCTGAACCATCCAGTTCCCATAGAAGCCATTTGAGAAACGTTAACTACTCCCTAAAGGGAGAGTTGTAGAGGAACCTGCATTTACAGGTCATTAGTTACCTTCTGCATTACATTACCTGTTATTTTTAGATAATCTCACTAATCTGGTATTCAGGGTAATTTCTAAATAATTTAGTCCCCAGATGTATTTGGATTTCCAAATTCAGACCCTTAGGAAAGTACACAGGGAAATCTCAGATAGAGCAAAATTGATGACTCGTGCCAACGAATTTCCCATTCTGAAATACAAGGTAGTTCATCTAGTGTAGATCTTTTTTTTTTCTGTTTAATGCAGCAAAATAATTTAACTCTTTTTTTTTTCTATTGAACTCTTAAACTCTTTTACTAATTAAAAAAAATAAATGCCATGTGATGGGCTTTTTAAATGCAATCTTGGATGGCTTTTCATTTTCCAAGTCAGTCTATGAGAATGCTGTGGGAGGTGTCTGCCTGGAAGGATGTACACCAAGAAGATGGAATAACAAACTGTGCTCCTGGGAGAACAGGGGGCCCTGTTATTCACAATCCCTGATGTTGGGTAACATAAAATGGGAATTACTTTTCCTCCTGTCATGGTGGGATTGCCATCCTGCGGTCTTGACAAAGAAGAATCAAGAATCAGGTAACATTCATATTAGCTCAAAGAGGTCCGTAGTGCTCAACTACTCAAGCAATTCCTTTGGTTCTTAACACAAAAAAAAGAAAAAAAAATGCCACGGCAGCTTGGGAAAATGTCCAAGAGAATATATGATGTATTTGATTACATTATTCTTGATTTTTACTTTATATGTCTCTTCTTATCTTTAATAATACCCTATACATGATTTAGATCCCATTTTCCATATGAAGCAAAATACATGCTTTACATTTAACTTTACTAATAATCAAGGAGAGGTTTCTCCTGTAGCTCACATCCGTAAAAACAAACAAACACAAAACACAACTCTCGTTCTTTAGAACCGTCTTCTCAGCTAGACCTGCTTTTCTATTAATACGACATTTTTACCTTCACAAATGACTTCTCTTTAGAAATGCAGCATTCACACTGTAAAGTCATGGCCACTGAATCTGTTGAATATGCACAGAGTCAAAATCTGTGATGTTGAAACGAAATCTAAAGGTGAATGAGTGACTTAGAAAGAATTTTTTCTTAGCTGGCATTCTCCCACCACCCACCCCTTTCTCTATGAAACAGAATATCCCCTATGAAAGCCCATGAAAGCAAGGCATGAGACTAGAGTCAGTGTAAAGGTAATTTATTCATAAAGCAATTTCAGGGAAAAGGAGTGAAACCTGAAAAAAGTAAAGCAAAAAAGGAAGAAAAGCAAATACAAGGGTGTATTAACCATGCCTTTTTATTATTTGTATTTCTGATGCTTTGATATCTGGGCCTTTGCTGACCCTAGAGGGACTGCCCCTCCCAAGGTTAGCCCATTACCAGAGATAGCTGGTAAGAGGTCTCCTGGAAGCGTGCTTTTCATATGCCAACTTACCAATCCAGCACCCACACCTGATGACTGCCTCATTTAATGGCTCTTACACTCCATGCCATTATTCCCCTCCTCTAATACCCCCAGGGCCAGGTACTACACTGTTAAGAGTCAACCCCCACACAGAGGAGCCTGCTGAAATCATTCCAACCAGCCAACCCTAACCCTTTCTGCCCTGCTTATCCTACCTGGTCCATTCTTTCCTGCAAAAAACACAATAAAAGCCCTTGCCCATGGCCCACCCCCACTTCCTGATACCTGGTACCCTGGTACTTTCCCATGTGGCCCTGCATGGTGTGGGAACTGTGGAGTAAGGCACTATCTTTGCAATGAAAGTCCTCTTAATCTGTTGGCCTCATCATACTTGAAAAATAATAAAACCTACATTTTAAAACAAAAGGTATGTTACCTAAATAGTTATGCTATGTGGACAACTAGGCGTCAAATTAAGCAGTAACTTAAGCATACCCGGAGAATGACCCTATGGTCTAAGAAGAATGTATGTTTTCAGTGTCAGGCTAAGGACTCTGGGAGTGGCCAGCCCGGAGATTTTCTCCTTATCTATGAAGCACATCTGAATCCCTGGCCCATTCACAGGATGTGCAAGGAACCAAGGACCTTTGGGGTTAAACGGAGGTTGCCAGGTGGAGGGTGCTAAATGAAGATGCTATATAAACTGTGTGATTTTTACAAACAGTAGCCATTGTACAGTCTAGCTGGCTGCTCCAGGACCTGCCCCATATGTAAATCCTCAATAAATCCTATGTCTTGTTCACTGGCTCTGAGTCTCTTCTTCACCCTCTCCAACACAGTTCCTTCCTATTGGACTCAATACAGGGTCCGGCAAACAGAACTGAATGGGGAGCATCTGTTTACTGCCTCCTGTCCTGTACTGTCAAGAGTCCCCATGAGGCACTAACATCCACAGGACTCCAAAATTTCCTGTGTGAGTGCTCAGTAGGTTTCCATGGACATTTGCCACCCCGGCTTCAGCACAGGAAGACAATGCAGCTAAGGTCAGGTTACACCTTCATTAAATCGGTTTCTACAACAGGGACTTGAGTAAAAGATGGGCTCCATAACTTACAGTAAGGAAGATGGATCTGCTTTGGTCAAGAATAGGCCGAGGCAGACATCTGGGCCAGCGTGACTCAGCGAGTTTGGAGCACAGGTGCATAACTCTGCTTGTTATATAACCTGTTTGTGTAAGTTCACACTCGGCTCTGAGCCACCATTGTCTGTAAAAGGTATAACTGCCCTGCTGACACTGCACGTGTGGCTCATGCCCAGAGAGAGAGAGAGTGAAACTGCTGCCCCTGTAAGGGAGAGCTGGCCCTCTTGCAGTCGGACAGGAGGGAGCCAGAAACCAGCAAGCATACCAGGGAGTGTGGCTGTAAGTGTGGGAGTGGCAGGAGTCATGGAGCAGGAGAGGGCAGCCAAGACAAAGGTAGACAGTGTGAGAGAGCTGCTGAATAAAGCCATATTTCACCTGCCTACGGCCCCCAAGTTTTCTTTCAGTTATCTGCCAGCCATCTACCCACTCCCCTCAGACCTCAGTGTGGGCTAGAACCTGACACTTGGTGTGACACTTACATAGCTCAGATATTCTTGTGTCTTTACTAAGTCAAATCTCCCAGTAATTTTTCAAATGCTAGCCAGCTGCAGTCTCTATAAAAGGCTTAGAGTATGGAACAAGCTGCAGTCACTTAAGCTGAAACTGGTCCTGAGATAGTAATTTACATGAATCATGTCTCTTCTCCACCACCTGACATCCCCCACCTCACTCAGTTTCACATGGTTTAGGTTGCTTACCTAGTAGAACGACACACACCTTAATTCCTGAGGGACTCAGCCATGATTTGCTGCACACTTTTTGTTGTTGGAATTGCTATTATTGCCTATATACAGTTATAACTGGACACAGAGTGCCCAATGCTGCCTCAGTGGATCTCTTGGGTTCCAGATGTACTCTTTCCTGTCTCCATTATGCAGCAATTACCCTTGACAGTTTAGTAACTGTTCTTTGCCTGTTGCTCCACCAGTATAAGTGATGGTGACCAGGTGGTAGTCACAGCTTTAAGTGCATTGGAAGTCATGCTGCATGCCCTAGTGGAAGTGATTCCCCTAGAGACCAGAATATCTAGCTTGGCAGAAACTACATGTTCAGAGATGGGAAATACAGGTTCTGTAACTGGATTTATTTAAAATAATGGCAAGAAAGGCTCATGGGCAGCATCACTGGATCCCAGGACTCCTATACTGTAGCCATTGACATCATCTAGCAATCAGCATCACGTGTCAGCTGTGGGCTCAACATGGATATCCCATCCTGGAGCATGGCACCCAAACCCAAGTTGAGTTCCCAAGAAGACTCCTTAATTAAGACTTTAATCGGCAATTTCGCTATTCTTAAGTGGCTGCTTATAAGTGATGTCTTACATGGCAGGGCCAATGAATACTGTGTCAAGACTAATAAGACACTCTTGATAATGGATCCTCTTGTGTAAGACATTGTTGTGAAGGCAGCATGCTGGTAATCAGGAATTTTGTAAGTCTGTAGATGGTAAGGCAAACATGGAGCTGCTATGAGTCTGATAAGGATATCCTGCGGGGTAGTAGGGTTCCATGATGATCAACTCACCATCAAGAGATTGCATCTTCTCTCTAAGGGATGCTGTCATTTAGAGGACTTAGCCTCATTCTCTCTCAGCATGTTTGTCATTCAGCTGTGGCTCTAGCAAAATCATAATTGGCCAGAGGGTGCCCAGGCTATTGGGCACACGCATGGCTTCATGGTTCCTCAGTTCATTGGCTCACTGTTCTAGCGTTGTAGTAGCTGGCAAGTCATATGTGGGTGTTGAATGCTTGCTCTTTAAAAACTTTTTCTGGAGGATGTGATAAGAGAGTGGGCTTAAGATCCATTCCCATAGGTCCATCCACATGACTGCCCTAAGTTTTTGTTTCTGCTTTTCAATTTTTTTCCTTCTAATCTTATGATCAATCAGTCAAGACACTTACGCTGCCCAGAGTTTATATATATCTGTACCTCAGTTATTTCTCTCTCCATTCAAATTGAAAGACCACGTATATTTCTTGACGCTTTATTCACTGGGAGAATTTCCTTTCGTCGTCATCCTTTAAGTCTACCCCAAGTGAGATGGCCTGTAGCAGCAATCCTTTTTTGGCAAGAAGGCATATAACTAGCTGGCTTTTTCTTCAGAATAAGTCTGGGAGTTTTCCTTTTTAGTCAAAATTTTCAGGTGAGGGACTAAACATAAATTAAGTGGCTGGGATGGTGGGTGGCTCAGACCTATAATCCCAGCACTTTGGGAGGCCAAGGCAGTTGGATCACTTGAGGCCAGGAGATCAAGACCAGCCTGGCCTACATGATGAAACCCTGTCTCTATTAAAAATACAAAAATGAGCTGGACATGGTCGTGGGTGCCTGTAATCCCAGCTACTCAGGAGGCTGAGGCACAAGAATCATTTGAACCTGGGAGACAGAGGTTGCAGTGAGCCAAGACTGCACCACTGCACTCTAGCCTGAATGACAGGGCAAGACTGTCTCAAAAAAATATATATATATATGGATTAAGCAAAAAGCATCATTTTTTAAAAGGCAGGTGCCATGGGAATCTAAACTATCAGTTCCTGTGTTTTATTGTTTGTTTGTTTATTTTCTGGGTCTGCTCTGGCCTGATTCTGAATGTGCTGTTTCCACTGTGTAGTAGGTTCCTGCAGTTCTTGACTCAGTGTATGGGAAAATACCCAATTCATAATGAGGAGTTCTCACATACTTAATTGATGCCCCATGATGAAATACTAAGTGTTTCACTGAACCTAGCAGTATACCAGGAACCATGTTTCACTAATGATGTGTGGCTTTTCTTTATAGTGTACGTCCATAAAATGCATAAAAGAATCCAAAGATCTCCAAAAGGTGTTGTACCTCTTTCTTCATGGTGATAAGATAACAAGGAAAAACAATGGTTCTTTACTTTAGAAGAGATTTCTCAGAATGTCTTCCAGACAATTTAATCCCTAAAACCCACTGGTATTGCAGACTCTGAAATTTCATGTGGTTTTCTTCTCATCCTGTGGCACATATGACTTTCACCATGGCATTCAAAGTATTTGCCATTTCTTTCTTCACCAGTATAAGTGGTGGTGACCAGGTGGGAGTCATAGCTTCAAGTGCATTGAAAGCCATGCTGCCACACATGGTAAACATTTATTACCATGAATTGGTTTAGATCTGAAAATTGGGTAAAGGTTTGCCATTTTCCATTACAGCAGCTGATTTCAGTCTTTTACTAGCCATCGTTTGGAATTTTTAAATTAAGTAAGTCTAAAATCCTGGCTGTTCATCTATTTTGCACCTAGGAACACCATGGACTATCAGCCATCACCACAGATGCTTGAGGATCAAGGCAACCTGGTTGCTACTTAGGCTGCTCTGTCCATCTCATTTATTGTATGGATTTTAATTCTGTGAGTTCAGTGCCACCTGGTCTTCACCTTTTCAGAAGCATTCACAGTATTAGGGAGCCCAGTTATATGATAGGATCTCCTATTGTCAACTTCAACCTACAAAGAACACCCATCACCAACTTGCACGTATACTTTTGCTATGTTCCTTATTTTCTTAGTGACATGTACGTTAGGTCCTTCCAGGGAACCTAGTCAGATGGTGGGTTCCCTTGTATTACATACAATCTCAATTTAAACATGCCTACCTCCTGAGCCCCTTGAACTACATACTAAGAAAAAGTGATTCCAGCATCCCCGCCTAGTTTACTGCCCACTGCTAGTGTATTCAAGTTTCAAGGAGACATCCTATCACCGCAGCATACCCAGCTCCCAGTGTGCTTTCAGGGAATTTAAACTGAGAGCCACATGAGCAGGTTTCCATGTGAAGACATTTTTATCTATTCATCCTTATATTTCACAATTCTCTGTTCAAGATCCACTCCTTATTACTTAGTGAAACATAATATCCCTAATTTGCAATTATTTTAGGGTTTTGATATTTCCTTGCAGAACAGGGATGATATCTTTCCATTTGGCCTATGTTGCAACTTGACTGTATGAATTAAGCTAGAAGTCATGATTAGAGCCGAAACTGGACTTGAGGAAGATGAGTACCTTCATCTTGAGAAGGACCTACCTCAGGGGGTGGCTTTATAGGGATTCCAGGCATGGATATACAGCTCTCTTCTAGCAAGAAGGTTTCGGTGGAATCTAAGAATCCAAGATTCTCAGGCTCACCATCCCAAATGTTTCCATCCAGGTGCCAGGTGCTCTTTCTTCTCCTGGCACGTTTATATAGAAACCCCATAGAGGTATTTAGTCTCCTTATTAGCTTTGCTACCCTCATAATTAAATTTAATATCTGCTTTATAGCACAACCTGCCCTGCAGCTGCAGGAGATAAAGCCCTTTTGAAATGTGGAGGCTTCTGGCTTTCACAGCATGTCTGAAGTTGATGATGATTAGATGAGGAACTGTTATTTTATTTCTACAAGATTTCTAAAGCAGTGAACAAAATACAACCAATGTATAGATGCCATAGTTTCTACATTGTTCAACACCAGTCATGGTTACGTTCCACCTACAACTTACCCTAAACCGCCACTGGTGAGAATCCTAGTATTGCAATGCTATTAAATGTCAAGATTAATGTTATCACCTGGCTTACAGCCAGAAATGGCATCCTCATTGCCATACAGTCAGCGAGTAATCCAGTTCCAGAATCTCCTCTTAAAAGTCTGCTTTCTAGGATATTTCTACTACTGGTTGGCCTAGCCTTGGTATGCTCCTTGCCAAAAACAGAGCCTGAGCCATTAGCTTGTGTGCAGATTGTTTGGGAAGTGATTACAGGGAAATAGGAGGTTGAAATGAGGAGCAAGGAAAAGCCAACAGTATGCATCATTCATCTGATCATTGTTGAGGGCAGCTAAGACTCAAACCTACGAAGACTGCCTGAAAAGCTGTACAGAATGAGCCTCAAACTTGTGCTTCTAAGGGAGAGAAGGGAGGGGCAGTTTTCCATCTGATTCCTTTCCCATTGCTCAGGATTGCTCCATGGGCCATTAACTCTCCATCACTTCCCTTGTGCATGCATGAGTTTAGTGAACTTCTGCATGATTCCCCTGCTACAGCATCAGGGTGGACTTGGTGTAGAAAACTATATGTAGAGCTGCGGTAGGGTGCCAAAAAGCTGATTGTCATAGTCATGGTCTGAGTAAAAAGTAAGCCAATGAGGGGTGAAATCTGATCCATTAGCAAAGTTATGTTTTATATTATTATTTATTAAAGGGGTTTATACTAATCAATAAAAATTAGGATACTGTCCTTTGAGGTTCTTTCAGGATCTGTATTTTCAATCCCTCTTAGGGTCTGAAGTGCTGTCTATTTGTGTAAAGAAAGTTTGGGTGACTGGTGTATGTGTAAGTGCTGGTGTATTACAGTTCAGATTATTATCCTGTAGTCTGAAGTCAAGAGGAATAGAATCTTGAATTATTCAATCTTTAACCAAGCAAGTCGAAGTCTAATGTGTTTATCTGGCAAATGAGCTCATGCAGGTTAAGTGTTTGCCAAAAAAATCACACATTACATTAATGTCAGGTCCAGGAACATGGCCCTGGCCGTGTGGCTCTACATATGATCGTTTCCCCACCATTCCATGTCATTCTTTCTACCCAGGGTAGGATCATGTGGTTCCTGATAGTAAAATATTGACATTTCCTAACTGTAACTTTGCAAATAATAAAATGAGGATCAGTGAGTTTCTCAATAATATAATTCTTATTGAATTCACCGAGACAATTTCTCTGGGGGACTGGCAAGGGGAATTTGGGGAATAGGCAAATATATATGAACAGCTGTTCTTACTAGAAAAAAATTCAGAGACGCTAAACTCATTCCATCTTAAAATTAAATCTTTTTCTTCGAGGCTGTATAAACTAACTATTCCTGATGAGATAAATTATTCCAATGAGATTTCTACTACCGATCCAGATCTGTTGTTAATATGTTGGGATAACAATCACTTAGATTTATTTGCCCATGAGCAAGACCATATGTGAAATATGTATAATGTGATTTTTCCTTTTTGATAATTACTCTTATATAATTTCCTACTTTCATCTATCTTTTGCTACACTGATGTGCACCCATTTCACGTGCTGTAGTAACATTGAATGTTTATGTGTTTCCTATCTCTGCTATTGTAATTGCTCTTCCCTGAAACAAAGCCTGTTCTTAGAGCCTATGACAGCATTTTATTAAGTGTCCGTGGTATAATAAAAATTATCTCTGATGTTTTCCCCCAGTTCGTGATACACAGCAAAAACCCCCAGAATTCCCTGAGTGACAGAAGTATCTTTTGTTATTCATAATGAGTCCTGTATTAGTCAGCGTTCTCTAAGGGGACAGAACTAATGAAATACATATATACATATGTATTTTCATATATATGTATTTATATATGATATATATGTGTATTTATATATGTATTTATATATGATATATATATGTATTTATATATGTATTATTTATATATATGTATTTCTCTCTCTCTCTCTCTCTCTCTCTATATATATATATATATATATGAAGGGGAGTTTATTAAGTATTAGCTCACATGATCAGAGGGTCCCACAATAGGCCTTCTGCAGGCTGAGGAGCAAGGAGAGCCAGTCCAAGTTCCAACTGAAGAACTTGGAGTCCGATGTTCAAGGGCAGGAAGCATCCAGCATCGGAGAAAGATGTAGGCTGGGAGGCTACACCAGTCTCTACTCTCACATGTTTCTGCTAGTTTATATTCTAGCGGCGCTGGCAGCTGATTAGATTGTGCCCACCCAGATTAAGGGTGGGTCTGCCTTTCCCAGCTCACTGACTCAAATGTTAATCCCTTTAGGCAACACCCTCGAAGACACACCCAGGATCAATACTTTGTATCTTTCAATCCAATCAAGTTGACATTTGGTATTAACCATCACAAGCCCCTTCAGAGGATACGTGAGTTGATGCTAATGAGGTGACTTGGGGTGAGCCCTTAGTTTCCCAATAGCATTCCAATGTAGCTCATTTATTCTGTTCTTGCAATACACTTCATTAGAGAGTTGGAACTTTCAGCCTCATCCCCTGATGGAGGGAGGAGATGAAGATTTACATCACATGGTCAGTGATGTAATTGATCATGCCTATGTAATGAATCCCACATAAAAACTCCAATGAAGCTTGGAGAGCTGCCTGGTTGGTGAACATATGGATATACTGGGAAGGGGGTGCATTCCACAGAAGCTCCTATGCTTGGGACCCTCCAAGTCTCATCCTGCCTTTTCCATTTAGCTATTCCTGAGTTGTCTCCTTTATTACAAAACTGTAAGAGTAAGTACAGTGCTTCCAGTGAGTTCTGTGAATCATTCCAGTGAATTATCATATTAGGCCATTCTTGCACTGCTATAAAGAAGTACCTGGGACTGGGTAATTTATAAAGAAGAGAGGTTTAATTGGCTCAGAGTTCTGCAGGCTTTACAGGAAGCATGGCGGCATCTGTTTCTGGGGAGGCCTCGGAAAGCTTCCAATTATGGCAGAAGGCAAAAGGGAAGTAGCCATCTCATATGGCAGGGGCAGGAGCAAGGTGGGAGGGGAGGTGCCACACACTTTTAAATGACCAGATTTCACGAGAACTCATTCACTATCACAAGGACAGGGCCAAGGCGATGGTGCTAAACTATTCATGAGGAATCCACCCCCATGAGCCAATCACCTCCCACCAGGCCCCACCTCCAACACTGGGGATTACAATTCAACATGAGATTTGAGTGGGGTGGCGACAAGTATCCAAAGTCTATCATTTATGTAACCTGAAGAGGGATTCTGAAAACCCTGAATTTGTAGCCATGGCGGGCTGAAGGGTGGGTGATTTAGGGATATGTAAGACTTGTAGCTTGTATCTTAAGTGGGAACAGTCATGTAAGATTGAGCCCTTAATTTGTGGGGATCTGCATTAACTCTGATTAGTAACAGAATTGAATTGCATAGCAGGACGCCCCCCATGACGGTTATAAAATTAGTGTTGGAATGTAGTACCACTTATTCTATAAATTACCTGTCTGACATCATGGTGCCATCACCTGGAAAATTTAAGTAACCTTATGGCTCTGAAATTCTTTGACTTTCTTAGATATAGTCAAAGCTAAGTCTTTTAGGTTATTTATTTATTTATTTTTAGACGAAATCGCACTCTGTCGCCCAGTCTGGAGTGCAGTGGCGTGATCTCGGCTCACTGCAACCTCTGCCTCCCGGGTTCGAGCAATTCTCTGCCTCAGCCTCCCAAGTAGCTGAGATTACAGGCACCCGCCACCACACCCAGCTAGTTTTTTGTATTTTTAGTAGAGACTGGGTTTCACCATCTTGGGCAGGCTAGTCTTGATCTCCTGACCTTATGATCCACCTGCCTTGGCCTCCCAAAGTGCTGGGATTACAGGCGTGAGCCACCACACCCAGCCGTCTTTCAGGTTTTTAATCATCTCAGGATTGTTAGTTAGGGGAGCATTTAGTTTTAAGGAAAACCAGAAAGATAATTGTGTTATTACCTACTGTGAAACACTGGTCTCAGACAGGCTTCAGTTGGGTCTTTCTCACCCTAGAAGCTAGAACTAGTCTTTTCATCAAGTGTGGGATTTCATCTGTTCATTCTTTGGATGGTGTTTTAGTCCATTCATGCTGCTATTACAAAGTACCTGATACTGGATAATTTGTACAAAACAGAACCTTATTTTCTCACAGCTCTGGAGACTGAGAAGTCCAAGATCAAGGCGTCAACAGATTCAGTGTCTGGTGAAGGCTGCTCTGCTTCTGAGAGGTGCTCTGTTACTGCATCCTTACTTGGCAGAACACAGAAGGCAAAGGCCTTGCTAGTTCCTTGGAGTCCTTTTGTAAAGTGGTAATCCCATTCATGAGGGCTCCACCCTTAGGACTTAATCACCTCCCAAATGCCCCACCTCTTTATACTGTCATATTAGGCCTTGGGTTTCAACATGAATTTTTTGGAGGGACACAAACCTTCAAACCATAGCAGGTAGCTGTGATTTCCTAGACATTATCTGGTGGATAGAATTTTGACACATTAGTAAAATTTACCACTTCTATGATAATCTGACTATTGTAGGAAAACATGTAAGTTCTTCCCCTGGAAAATCAATAATAAAGTTTAAATCTTGGCAACATCACTGAGCTATCCATACTAGAATGATGTCAACAGATGATATTTGTAATTATAAAGCAATAATGTCAAATTTGCTATCAGAAGTGGATAACTTATTTGAGTTTTCTTTTCAATCCTATTTGGAAATATTAAACATTAAATATAGTGAGGGGAAACAGAAAAATTTGTAAATTGGACAAAGGTAAATGTTAAAGATATCCACACATACAGCTTATAAAGTATTAATATATGCATCACTTAGTATGCTTTGGGTTCAGGAAGAGATGCTTGGATACTAATGAATATGTGTGAGGAGGGCAGGGGGTGCCTCCAACACTGTGTAGAATAAGTTGATATGGACAGCTTCTATTCCAATATAGCCATAGAACAAACAAAAAGAAATAATAGCTAAACCTCCTTGCTTATGTGTTGCATCTGCAATATTTATAAGTAAACAAATGAGCAAAAATAAAACCCAGCTTATCTCAAAAACATGGAGAGGAAGAATTGCCATGTGCCAGAAAGAAAGTGAAAACTCAAAGCTGACTTAGAAAAGAGAGGGGGCTGGAACCATAGTTGATAATGGAGGTTAAGTATTGTAAACCCATGTAGGAATGGGGACACCATCTTAAGCCTTCATAATCTTGGAACTAGACCCACAGAAAAAAAGCCTAGTACTTCAAAAGTTTTGTCCATATATGAAACAGGCACTATAAATGTTTTGTTTGGAAACTTTCCTACATAAAGCAATGGTGGGCTCAGTAATTTGAACCAATCCTTTCACCAAGGACAACTAAAAACTCTGTATGTAATGTTTTATTTAAAATACTTTTAAAAGCTTCAAAAATCATACAAGACAGTGACAAATTACCTGGCCAATGTTCAAAGAGAAGGTGAGAATCCAGAGAGAAGCCCAGCATTCCGACCTGCTTTTGCATTGAGGGAAACTGTCGATTTGGAAATGATACCCGAAAAACTGAGATGTAAAGGAGCCTGTCCAACTCAGGGAGGGTTAATCTTGCTCTCCCCAACTAATAATATGAGAACCAAAATGTCAATATACCCCAAAAAGTGCCCCCGCAAGTTAAAGCAGTCCTAAGGGGGTTTTGCGTGAAATCTCAAGGCTTGAACTTTGATTAAGCTAGTTCGAGATTGTTTATACCAATCGAAGTAACTTAAAGTCTACTCAGAAAGAAGATCTGTCATCCTCGGCCTCAGATTATTAGTAAAAATGATTATTCAATTGTAATGATCTAGCACTTATGGAAGCAACACCCTGTGATAGAGAATCATCATAAACAAAATGTAACAACAATAATTATAACAACTTTGGATATTGCAATTATCAGCACAGATCAGAAAGCATCTATTTGTACTATGTGCAGATAAATATTATGTAAACTTTCCAAAGCAGAAAATTGGTAACCATAAAATGTTACAGAGCGGATTAAAGAAAAACTAGAATTTTTAGTTTGAAATGAAAATTATTATGTGAAAAGAGACCCTGAATATTCTACTGAATGGAAGCAGATTGATGAAACTGTTGAGCTACAAACACATACTACCTTTCAAGTAAGAGAAAGGGAGACTCAAGGGGTAAAAAGGAAAATCCAGAGGGTGGAACCATGAATGTGGACAGTAGAGCTGAGAGCCACAGAGGATTAATCCCAGAGACCTAAAAGAGGTTGATAAATGGATTTCAGAACTACCTTGGGCTGGTGACTTCTTTTCACTTTCCACATACCTTCCTTTTGAATGAAATGTCCATAATTATTATTCTATGCCTGTCTTGCCATTGCATTGGGAAAATATTGATAACAGATAACTTTTGCTTTAGCTTTTCAGGTCTACAGATGAATCCGCATCATAGCCCACAATGAATGAGACTGATGAACCTCTTTAACACCTCATTTAGATGAGATTTAGTACTTTTAAACGAATGACATTTAGATGAGATTTTGGACTTTCAGCTGATGTTGTAATGGGATGAGACTTTGGTGGACTGTTATCAATTAGGATTTCACCAGAACAAACCAGTAGGAGACTGTGTGTGTGTGTCTGTGTGTGTGTGTCTGTGTGTGTAATAATATGTATTATATGTATGTAAATATATGTAATACATATGTCATATATGTAATTGATAGTAGGTAGGTAGATAGCTAGCTAGCTAGATACATACATACATACATACATACATACATAGATAGATAGATAGATAGATAGATAGATAGACAGACAGACAGACAGACAGACAGACATGTTGGGAACAGGCCCCCCAAAATCTGGCCATAAACTGGCCCCAAAACTGGCCATAAACAAAATCTCTGCAGCACTGTGACATGTTTGTGATGGCCACGATGCCCACGCTGGAAGGTTGTGGGTTTACCAGAATGAGGGCAAGGAACACCTGGCCCACTCAGGGCAGAAAACCACTTAAAGGTGTTCTTAAACCACAAACAATAGCATGAACGATCTGTGCCTTAAGGACATGCTCCTGCTGCAGATAACTAGCCAAACCCATCCCTTTACTTCAGCCCATCCCTTTATTTCCTGTAAGGAATACTTTTAGTTAATCTATAATCTATGGAAACAATGCTTATCACTGGCTTGCTGTCAATAAATATGTGGTTAAATCTCTGTTCATGGCTCTCAGCTCTAAAGGCTGTGAGACCCCTGATTTCCCACTCCACACCTCTATATTTTTGTGTGTGTGTCTTTAATTCCTCTAGTGCTGCTGGGTCTCCATGACCAAGCTGGTCTCGGCATAGACAGATTTCTTGCAATTTACAGTTGTGGGGATTAACTAGGCAAGTCCAAAATCCATAGAGGAAGTGATCAGAAAAGACAGGCTGGAAAGGCTGAGGATGCCATTCACAGATGGAATTTCTTCTTCCTGGTTCTGCTCTCAAGACCTTTAAACTGATTGAATCAGGCCCACCCAGATTATTAAGGGTGATCTCTTTTAGAGAAAGTCAATTGGTTGTAGATATTAATCACATCATCTACTAAATACGTTCAACAGCAACACCTAGATTCGTGTTTGCTTCATAACTGTGGACCATAGCTTAGTTACATTGACACATATAAGTGACTATCAGAAGGACTTGGAAAGGGTGAGTGTAGTTTGCATTTGGGTGGTATGTGACTTTTGGGGGACCAGGGAATGGACTGAAATATAAAGATGACTCACAAGGATTCCATCCTCTGGTTATTTAATCAAACACAAATTTAAGTGTTGGTATGAAAAGATTTTGCAGATATAATTAAAGTCCCAAAGCATTTGACCTTCAGATAAGGAGATTATCCAGGTAGACCTGACCCAACCATTTAAACCCTTTAAAACTATAGTTTGAGCTGGGTGTAATGGCACATGCCTGTTAGTCCCAGCTTCTTGGGAGTCTGAGATGGGAGGATGGTTTGAGCCTGGGAATTTGAGGCTGCAGTGTACCACAGTCACTCCCGTAACTAGCCACTTTACTTCAGCATGGGCAACATAGAGAGAACCCATCTCTAAAAATAAATTAATTAAATAAACAATAAATTGGAGAGTTTTCTGCTCTCCACATTTTACCCCTTAAGTCTCCCTTTCTCTTACCTAAAAGGTAGTATGTGTTTATAGCTCAATAGTTTTGTCAATCTGCTTTCTTTCGGTAGAATATTCAGGGTCTGAAGCCTCTTTTCACATAATAATTTTCATTTCAAACTAGAAATTCTAGTTTTTCTTTAATCAGCTCTGTAACAGTTTATGGTTACCAATTTTCTGCTATAATTTTGGAAAGTTTACAAAATATTTATCTGCACATAGTACAAATAGATGCTTTATGATCTGTGCTTCTAACAGAATGAGGAAGTCAGAAAGGTTTGAAGCATGAGAAGATTTCAACACACCATTGCTGGCTTTGAGGGAGGACAGCCTCTAGAGACCTAGCAAAGTCTCTAGCTGACAGAAAGCAAGGAAACATCAACCACAGTCCTACAATCACAAGAGACTGAATTCTGCTGGTAATTTCTAAAAGCTTGGCAGCAGATTCTTCCCTAGAGCCTCCAGATAAGGCCCTGAATGGTCAATGCCTCAATTTCAGTAGAGAACACAATTGAACTTGCCTTAACTTTTGACTTACGGAACTGTGATATTATGTAATACATGGGTATTGTTTTAAGCTGCTGAGTCTGTGGTAATTTGTTACACAGCAATAGAACACCAATACACATGGAACGTAGCACGAAGCCAGGAACCCAAGTGAATGCTGAGAGACCAGAAGGGATTGTGTCACTTAAGGAATTCTATGATCTCTGGAAAAATATGGGAGGATTTATTGGAAAAAGCCTTAAAAGAACTCCACCATTGAAAAGCCAGTATTTGAATATTTGCCACGCCCCAGTTGAGTGGAGAAAAAGTAGCATAGAGGGTTAGCAGAATTCACAAGTCAGATTTGAGTAGTAGTAGAAGTTTCCAATAAGATGAGAGACTGAAGTTCAGATTACATGTCATTTGGATGTCTTAAGGTTTAAAATAGCTGTTGCAGTGCCTAAAAGTTGCTAGATAAGCTAGCGGCTATACCTGAGACATAAACCAGAGACTGGGAAAGGAAACCTGACAGAATGAAGTGGACAGACAGGTTTGTGAGAAATATAAAACTTTTTAATGAATTTACTGTGCGATGTCACCTCCATTAAACAGTAATAGTAACTGTTGGGGTGGGAAAGGGGAGATTTCAAAATACGTGGAACTAAAATCCCGTAACTCCAGGTACTACAGAAATTCCTAGTTTCCCCAGATCTTGTCCACTACTGTATAAATATTCTCTTCATTAAAATATCCTCAATAACTCAGCTTTAGTGGACCATCTATTTCCAGCCAGGATTCTAATTGATATGCTCACAGAATAAATCAAGCGTAGCAATAACTATCATTAGAAGAAAATAATCTTTAAGACAAAAGCACTATTATAGACATAGAGAATGATATGTAACAAATTTAACAGCTCATCAGAAAAAAATAAAAACAAACACCTTTTATGTTCCAAGAAACATCTTGATAAAATATACGAAGCCAAAATTGAAAGAAATATAAAGATAAAATTAAAAATCCAAAATAATGAAGCATTTTAAGAACTTCTCTCATTATCAGAGATCTAATAGAAAATAATTAGTACAAGTAGATTAAAACAGCATAACTAGCGAGTTCCATCTAACATATATTAGTACCCAGGGCCAACTATGTAAAAAGTTCATGTTATCTTAATATATTGTTATGAGATATTTTGGACATCTTAAAATGTATAGGGAACATTAAACTATAGGCATATACCTAGCTAGCATATTTTGGAAGATGCTTCTCCATTATCAGTTCTGTTTCAGCTTGTCTTGTGGCAGCTTTTATCTCAGATCAAACGAACAGCCTTGGAAGGTAGAGAAGGCCTCTTCCTCTGAAGTGGAGAGCAGGTTCATTTGATATCCAGTATAATAAGAGAATGACTTTATTATGAAACATAGGTTGGTTTACTAGCAGCTCACTTCTAAGACTGGAGTCTCTTAAGCTTGCAGTTCCTCCAAAGTGACACAAACCCACTGTGTGTGGAGCACCCGCCTGGGTCTGCCTCCACATCATCCCCATGGGACTCGGGGGCCAATGGGAACTGAAGTAAACATTTACATCTAGGGGTAAAAACAGCTTTCTAATCTTGCTAGCCCCTGACTACCTCAATATCTCTCCTTGGTTGCTCCCTTACTCCTGCCAACATATCTGAAAATTGGATTTAAGTTTTCACTCTCAGCAAGATGAGAACCCACCAAAGGATTTTGAGCAAAGAAGTAACACAATCTGACGTGTTTTAAAAGGAGTCCTCTGGCTACTCTGTTGTGAATGGAGAGACAAGATGAAGCCATAGGTGCACCAGTTAAGAGGATGTTACTTTAATATGCAGACAAGTAAGGATGGTGGCTGAGATCATATGGTCAAAAAGTTGCAGAGGCAGAATTGGAAGCTTCCTGTTTTCTGGAGTTCTTATTTGCATGTATTATTTGTGGATCCTGGTGGGCTGCAGCCCGACAGGAGGCAGATATTCCCTCCCCCACCTCTGACAGCCACGACACAACCATATGGCCAACATTTGGCCAACTGAATGTTCCTACCCAGGCCCTGAATCTGAGGCCTGGGACAAAGAGAGGACTGATAGCTGAGGACCCATCCCAGGGACACACGGCAGCAGGAGCAGCAGCAGAGCAGCCGGGGCTCACCTAGGCAGTGATGGTACCCAGCATCAGTGTCATGCAGCAATGGGAACAGTCTCTCTTGCACTTATCAGCTGCTAACCTCGGAGCACACTGATTTTTATCCATTTAAATTAAATGAGGCAGTCTGTCTTTTCTGTGTGAAGAGGTGATTTTGGAATTGGACATACCTAAGATCACATTTCACCTCCTCCACTTCTAGGGATGTGGTCTTGGAAAAATTGCTACTTTTTGAAGTCTTGAAGTCTCAATTTCTTTACCTGCCCCCCCGCCCCAAAAGTCATTGAAATCTGTTGTGAAGATGACAGGAAATAAAGGGTAACCAGAACATGAGTTCCACAGTAACTGGAACATGAGAGGTAGAGCCAGAAGGTAGGTACTACTATTGTTCTTGTTACTGCCATTTAAAAATAAGTTTGCCAAGAGTGACTGTGACTTTGCAAGAAACATACTTAAGGACAGTCTTTACATAACTTTCTTCTTTACTATTGATTTTTAATGTTTTAATTTTAGAGGTCAAAGATTTCCTTAAGCGTCATGTGATCATTTTTTCCTGTCTTGGATAGACTGAAAACAACAACAACAACAAAAACTTCAGAGACTTGAGCTTTTTGGGGTCCTAGTGATGTGACATGTTATCTTGGCTGTCTCCTTCTATGGCTTATTGTCCTAATGTCTCATGAGCTCATAGGACATCAATCTTATTTTGCTCAGATTGTCTTATAACATGTGAACCAGATTCTTCTCAAATAAATAAGGTTCTCAAACTTACAAAAGTTGAACTTGTGGCCCACTGTTCTGGCACCTCCCATTGAGAAAGATTTCAAACAAGAGTAAACACAGACAATCTGAACTGGTGCCATTTCATTTCAGTGCTTTCAAATCTATTTTAATCAAATCTTGCAAAAGGATGCCTCATAAAACTTGTCTTAATTACTAATGTCCTATGAATCACAAAATGGAAAATAAAGTGCTGTTGTTTTCATGAGTATTTCATTGGTAATAGGCTGTAGTCTACAGTGTCTCCATTTTGGCATTCAAGAATACTGTGTTAGTAAGTTTTCTGCGATTGTTGTGTCTCAAAAGTTAGGCTTAGAAGAGCTTAATTGAAAAACTCCAATGAGCTGAATGAATCATGCCAAAGACTTTTTAAGATTCAACAAAGTCAACTTCAAAATCATCTAAAGTTACATTTAACAGGATGTATTCTGTGTTTGTGCACTCTAAGTTAAAAATTAATTGATCATCATTCACACTAATGGGTTAAAATTCATGTGACTAGCCATACGATACTCTTTTTAAATACAAAGTAGATTAGTAAATGGAATTGTAGTTTTAATTTTGCGATGACATGGAGTTTGTTTGAAACAAACACAAATAATTTTAAAATGTGATAGATCATGGAGATATTTGCCAATTCAAAAAGAGACATATTTCACCAGAATATATGTATGAAGTCATTGGTTGAGGGTGAAGAATGGAGGAGTACACTTGCACTTGAGTGCCTATCTGGCCTCTTTCTAAGTACGCTGTATTCCTCTTGAAGCATTTATGAGATCCACCAGGAAACAAAGAAATATAATTCTGGTTAGCTTATTTAGTTTTTGACAGCCTTAAGAACTTTATTTGAAATTTCCATCATGGAACACCCATTATTTGATTAGGAATGCATTAGCTGAGCAAACATTTCTGTAAAAATAAATATAAATCTGATTATATTCGTGGGTTTAAAAAAGCACTCAAATTCTTAGACTAAAACCTAATGTTTGGTTTGCTTTTTGTTTCTTTTTCTAGTATCAGCCCCCTAAGAACACTTGACTTGTATCTAAGATTTGTTTTGAGGGAGAAATTTCAAGTCAATTCAGAAACCTCATAAATACCTCAGTGGAACAAGATATTTAATATTATCCACAGAATTTTATTTTTCCTTTATAAAGAAAAATAAATTTGTTTTCCTACTACCTGAAGGATATACTCTAGACATTTTTTAAAAGCGATGATGGATTTATACTGATCCAGAGGCATTTGATCATTTATATTTTTATCCATTAAAATGTTATTTTTTTTCCAGAATGTTCACCAGTATATTATATGCTGATGGAACAAAGAATAAAACACAGAACTTTCCCTGAAGAATTGTGAAAGTCTTGAGGACAAAAAATGTTGAAACAAAAGAAAAAGAAACAGAAAAACTCTTAAGATTTGTTATGATAGATACAAAATTCTATAGGAGCACAGAGGGAAAACAATGATTATTCTTGTCTGAGTGTGGGGATAGAAAGTGTTACTTAGTGTGAGTTTTGAATGATGAGTAAATTTTACCAGAATCTTAGCCAGAAAAAAAATCACACAACAGAATATCATGCGTTTCAGAGAATTAAGCAGTTCATTCTTGAGGTTTAAGAAGAGAAATAAAGTCACAGGGTAAAGTCTCAAGATCATGTTAAGAAACTTGAACATAACATTTTGGGCAATTGGGGTTACACTAAAGGATGTTAACCCCATTAGAATGGGTGGACCACAGAGATCAACTCAAAGAAGAAAGAGTTAAGGATGGGAGATTTTACTTCTGCAGGAAAGAAGTTATGAAGACTTGAACCAAAGCAATGGCCCTGAATTAGGAAACAGAAAGAGATTAGAATAGTATTTTAGACAATGCATTGAATTAAATTTGTTGATCAGATATTATATAGGCAATGTCATCAAATAGAATAAATTCAGGATTTCCAAATATTCTTGCTGGGAAATTGAATAAATGAATGGCATAGGTCTGAAATAACAAATACTGGTAGTTGGCTTTGAATGAAGGAATCCTCTTTAAAATACATCTTCACTGAAGAGCTTCCCTGAATGGTTAATTCAGTTATGAGGAAAAAGAAGATAACATGAGAACTTTTTTTTTACAATGAGAAAGATGAAAATATTTTTTTCAAAAAAGGAAAAATAGAATTGCACGAAGTCAATCAGGAAAATCAGTCAAGAGAACTTGCAGTTTATCATGACAGTTAAAAACTGTCTTTCCCTAACATCCACTAAAATATATCAAAATATAATGTCCTATTAAAAGAAAAGATTTATATACCCCTGAGGCATATAAAAATCAAAAAGTAGCAAAGACTCTATAGAGAAAATACAGCAAAAATGTATATGCCTATGTATACCCAGTGCTTCTATTATCCCTGTAATTAATGAAGAGGGGCAGAGAAGTGAAAAACTTCTTGGGAAAAATTGATACAATCAACCAGGACAGATTTCCCTAAGTAGGCAGAATAAAAGCCTTTAAGTTAGTCTCACTGTCTTTACATAAACCTAAATGCAGAGGTTGCATCGACAAGAAAAATATATGGCCATGATATCTACTTTCTAGGTTTGCCAGACATGGAATTTTATCCATGAGCCAGTTCCTCAGTTTCTCTCCATTTATAAACCTTTCAAGGCAATACCTGCCATGAAAATAGCAGGATATAGAGGCACACAAGAGCTATACAGATCCTTATATCATGAGTTCCATAGGGAAAAGTTATAGATAAATGCAAAAACAGATAGAACACCAAATAGAGTGTGTGTTAGAGGCTTGTCCAATCTATTCAAAGCCTGTCATACTGCAAATCCCCATTCCAGAGGGGTTGCTGTCTATAATTTCTTGCTAAAAAAAAAGTGGCCCCAGAAGGCACTGAGAACATGATGTCATGACACCATCCCTGCCCTTCTGTATCAGTGGACTACGAATGTTCATCAATACAAAAGCAGCGGTGTTATCTGCTGCTGAGAAACCTGGAAAATAGACTTGTGTGAAAGTACTATCTGGAAAAAGAGAATAAAGATCATCTAAATCCATCATATTTTTATTTCCAGAAATTGGAACTCTGAGTCTCAGAGGCTATCTACATTCAACTGGTAGAAGACGTGAGAAGATGAAAAGAATTAGAGACAGAGGAGGGTGACTTAGTCATATAAATGGTGACGCATTGAAAACAAATAGCAACAAAGTATGTTTGTGGGGTTTAAACAAAAGAGCCTAATTCAAACAACATACCTTACTATCTCACAGTTTTTGTGGGTCAAGAGCCTGGCACTGTTTGTATAGTTCTCTCTGCCTCAGAGGCTCATGTGAGAATCGCAATCAAGGTGTCCAATGGAGTTGCAGCCTCATCTCAATGTTTGACTGGGGAAGGATTTACTTCCAAGATCACACCCTTCTTGGCATAGTTCTCTTTCTTGCAGGCTGTTAGATCAAGGTCCCTAGCTTCTTGTTGCCTATTAGCTAGAGGTCAACCTCATTTTAGCCTCAGTTGTTAGTCTCAGTTTCTTCTCACATGGGCCTTTCCAACAGGGCTGCTTTCTTCATCAAAATCACAAAGCGAAAGTGACTGGATGATACAATCTTATAATCCTATTCTATTGGTGAGAAGCAAGTCACAGGATCCACCAGCATTCAAGTGGAGAGAATTACGTAAGGGTTTGATTATCAGGGGGCAAGGATAATTGAAGGCCGTCTTTTACTATGTCCCCCACAAACACAGTTACCCATCTGATCTAATTGACATCAGAATACTGCATCCAATGACAACAGAGCACACATGGAACATTTAGCAAAATTGACCACATGCTGGATCATAAAGCAAAGCTCGACACATTTCAAAGATTTTAAGACATTCAAAATATATTCTTTGACCACAGTGAAATTAAGTTAGAAATCAGTAAGAAGAAAACTAAAAAATCCCCCCAACAGCTTGGAGATTAAACAAAGCACTTTTAAGTAATGCATAATTTTTTAAAAAAAAAAAGAATAGACATTAGAAAAACTTTGATTAAATGTCAGAAAAAAATATAAAGTATCAAACCTTTAGGAATGCAGCTATCTGCTTAGAAGAAAATTTATAGCCTTAAATTTCTATCTTAAAAAAAGAAGAATGGATAAAAATCAGTTATCCAATTTCCCCTTTCAAGCAGGAAGAGAAAGAACACATATCAAACTTTCAGTTGGCAGACAATAAAATAATGAAATTTAAAATAAATGTTAAATAGAGACAGTCCAAAAAAGTTATCACCCTCATTAGTCATCAGAAGAATACAACACACATACACACACACAATAAGGGACCACTATATAGAGGAGCTAACATTAAAATGATAGCTACACTGTTGATGATGAGAGTTTAAAATTTTACAATCACAATTTATCATTTGTTCATAGTACTTACTAACGTTGAGCACAACCGTACCCTTTGACCCAGCAGTTCCACTCTGAAATATGTAGTCAGCAGAAATTTATGCATATAGTCTCTAAAAGATGCAGGCATGTTCTAGCAGCATTCTTAAAGTAGTTAAAAATAGCAAAAGCCTAAATGGCTTTTAAGAGTTGATGAGTTAATAAATTATAATATATTAACACATACAGTATTGAGGATAAAGTAATTATATATAATGTAATATAAAATAACAGGGATGAATCTTTTTTTTTTTTTGAGACGGAGTCTCACTCTGTCACCCAGGCTGGAGTGCAGTGGTGCGATCTCGGCTCACTGCAAGCTCTGCCTCCCGGGTTCACGCCATTCTCCTGCCTCAGCCTCCCGGGTAGCTGGGACTACAGGCGCCTGCCAACACGCCCGGCTAATTTTTTGTATTTTTGGTAGAGACGGGGTTTCACCATGTTGGCCAGGATGGTCTCAATCTCCTGACCTTGTGATCCGCTCGCCTCGGCCTCCCAAAGTGCTGGGATTACAGGCATGAGCCACCGCACCCAGCTGGATGAATCTTATAAATAGAATTTGGGCAAAAGAAGCCAAACACACAAAAAATACAGATTCTTTATATAACTTTTTGAAATCATATAATTTTATATATAATAAACATAATAAATATTATAAACAAACATGTAAATATTAAACCCAGGTGTAACTGATGTATGTTGGTGGCTTTACCTTTGGGGAGGAACTGATAGTAACTGGAAGTGTCATTTGGGGAAGTATCTATGGAGCACTATTTCTTACTCTGAATGGTATTTACAAAGGTTAACTTTACTCACTTAATGAAAATTCATTGATCTGTATACATGTAATGTTTCAAATTCCTTATGTTTATGTAAAATTTTAATTAAAATGTATTCAAACTGTTGAAATGCCTAAAAGCTCTTATTAAAAATCCTAATGATGAAAATATACTAATGGAAACAGAACTTTGTGAGATATTTGCAACTCAAAAACATATATTTTGTAATTTTAATTATTATAGAACTAACTCTAACTTATAGAAATATCAATAAGACAATGGGAAATAGACAAAGGATATGAACAATTTATTCACAAAAAGTATAAGTGCTTGTTAAACATTTTAATAGAAGCTCCACCTCATTCATAATGAGAGAAAATCAATATGATACTATTTGTCAACTCTCATTTTGTGAAATTTCAAAAAGTTTGGTAATACATTATGTTGGGGATGGTTTGATGAAGCAGAAACTCTTGTACACTGCTGATGTAAGTGTATATTGGTACAACCACTATGAAAAGCAATTTGCTAATATTCCTCAAAATAGCAAATTCACCTAATAATTGACCCCACAATTATAGGAATGTATAGCAAAGATATGCTTGTGAATATATGAACTTGCCATGCACAAGCTTACTCAATGTAGCAATTTTTATAATGGCTAACTATCCAGAAATAATCTAAATAACTATTAGAAGGGGAATGGTCAAATGATGTGATGATTAACGTTATGTATCAACTTGGATAGGCTATGATGGCCAGTAGTTTGGTCAAACACTAATCTAGATATTTCTGTGAAGGTATATTTTAGATGTAGTTAACATTTAAATCTTTGGATTTTAAGCAGATCTCTCTTCATAATGAAGGTGGGCCTCATCCAATCAGTTGAAGGCTTTAAGAGAAAAAATTGAGGTCTCTTTAAAAGGAAGGAATTCTGCTTCCACCCCTCCTTTGAAGTCAAGATATTAACTTCTTGCCAGCTGATAAATAAGTCTGTTTATTGGGAGTACACTAACAGATGCAAATGAGTTATAAATACATTTTATAAATGACTTATAAATACATAAATGGCATGGTCTTCTGCTATAGAAACAACACACAAAAGCCCAGGATAGAGAAATGGGAAGAATTGTTATCTATAATACGTATATATGAAATTACAAGCCTTTATATATTGAGTGTGATATGATTATCATAGGTAATTAGTAATTAGTTCTATAGTAATTGAGAAGGAGTTACTAAGAACAGGGTTATCATATAATTAATTGAGACTAAAAATTTGGACACAGAGAGGAGTGAGGAATGTAATTCTAGGTAAAACAAACAAACACATAAAAAAACTAGAGAAGTGCAAGCCTGGGAACAGGAAATCTTATTCCAAGGCCATTGTAACCTGTTGGCATGCTGTAAAGAGAGTTTTCTGAAAGGAGCAGTGGGGCTAACAGTGAGGAGGTCAGGCAAGACCGAATGACTGGGGTCTTGAATCCAGGAGTTGTGTCTAGGCATGTGGAAATGAGAAGTTTCCAACATTTATAAATTGAAGTTGACTTAATGCAAGAATGCCAGGCTTTTTAACCAGGGGCAGGTGAGAACTCACTGATTAGTGTAACTGGTGGACTGCTGTATTCTGTCATAACTGCCTTGTGCAAACTTTCACTAGGGCCTTGATGAAGGGTTAAAGGTCTATTATTCACTAGCTGCTGTATCAAAATCTAAAAGGGTTTTCCCTGTATTTTTTGGTGATAAAAGCTCATGGGAGTTGAATTCATCAGTGTACACGCTGAATGAACTAATGTGAGTCTCTTTATTGATTCTGCTTACTATGAAGATTCTAATTTTTGCTGAACAAATACTAATGAATCAGCTTATAGGGTGATACCCTAAATATCAGTGGAGTGTTGACAATGCAGTTTGTTCTGCCATAATTTATGCTTCTTTAATATAAATTGACTCATATTCTATTGAAAATGGGAGAATTATGCCAATGTAACATAGAATTCCTTTTGGTTTAGTCTTTTCATAGCATGTTAGTATTTTGAAGCAGTTTGGGCAACTTTTCTCACAATTAAAGATAAGACCTGGGCTGGGCGTGGTGGCTCATGCCTATAATACCAGCACAGGGAGGCTGAGGGAAGTGGATCACCTGAGGTCAAGAGTTTGAGACCAGCCTGGCCAACATAGTGAAACCCCATCTCTACTAAAAATACAAAAAATTAGCTGGGCATGGTGATGCATGCCTGTAATCCCAGCTACTCAGGAGGCTGAGGCAGGAGAATTGCTTGAACCTGGGAGGTGGAGGTTGCAGTGAGCCGAGATCGCGCCATTGCACTCCAGCCTGGATAACAAGGGCAAAACTCTGTCTCAAAAATAAAATAATAAAATAAAATAAAACATAATAAGACCCTGGAAATGTATAATTTTAATAAAATAAGCTGAAAACCCAGAAAAATGCAAGTACTAGTAGTAGCTGTCTTAGTGGCATCTACAACCACTAAATTTCTGGAACCACTAGGTTTAGATATCAGGAAAACCTACAAGTGTAAACAAAAATTCTGCGAAGATAACTCCTCCTCTTATATTAAATAGCAGATAAATGAAGGCTACACCTTAAATCAAAGTGGTTTTTTTTTTAAATGGTCACTATTAAAAGTAAACATCCTTCATTACTTCTTTCCCTACAAAGCAAGAGCTCCATGATTTCATTTTGTAAAGGATTGACTAACTGGGGCACTGCGTGTAAATGTCAGTAAAGATTGGCTATGCTACATTTTCATTAAAACTGCTTTTTGTTGCTTTTGTTGTTAATATTTTGATTACAAAATTCCAAAGGATTTGGGGGGTCTACCACAAACCTATTTTCCCCATAGGCCTTATTAAGTTTAGTGTACCAGCTTGTGGGACACAAGGTTTTCCAGTAACACACATATGGAATCATAGCAGGAACATCTATATATAGTATATAGAATATGATTATTCTCTTTCTAAAATCTAAAAGAATATGAACTTTAAAATTGTCGTGCTTCTAGGATATCTTATTAAAATTGTGCACATGCGAAAGACTTATGTACAAAATTTCCAGATGCCATGAAGTAGGGTAGAGCAGTGACTTCCTTTGATTATAAAATTGGGCTCTGACAACTTCCCTGCAGGCTTGAGGAATGAACTAGATCTAACAAGATGAAGTTCAATGGTAAGTACACATAGTATTTTCTTAATTTGAGTAAGATGGGTCAACTGATGACTAGGTATTTAGTAATACACACGTGTTAAATATTTTACAAATTTATTGTTGGGAATTTTTAAGGACAGGCATAAAAACATAACTATCAGGATGAATCACCAGAACACACTTTATAATAGTGACAAATTAGAAATTGCGTATAGGAAACAATTGGGAATTTGGTAAATAAATTATGATACAACCATAAAATGGAACGCTCAGTAGCCATTAAAGGTGTTACAGAAGAGCAATTATTGACATGAAAACGTGTTAGGACATATTGATAGGTGAACAACGTAGATGATAACATACAGTATTGACTTTATTTTTGTAAAACAACAACAAAAAGATCTGCAGAGATATATGCTAAAGTAACTGCTCATCCCTGGGAAGGAAGTATGTCAGTGTTTATTTTGTACTTTGTTTACCTGGATTTCCCACTTTTTCTATAAATTACATAATTTGTTTCTGTAATAAGAAAACATTGATCTACTACAATCCTTCATTTTGAGGAAAACAAATCCATTTTTTAAAATCTTATATATATATTTTGAGACGGAGTCTCATGCTTTCACCCAGGTTGGAGTGCAGTGATGTGATCTCAGCTCACTGCAACCTCCACCTCCCGGGTTCAAGTGATTCTCCTGCCTTAGCCCCCTGAGTAGCTGGGATTACAGGAGCACACCACCATGCCCAGCTAATTTTTGTATTTTTAGTAGAGACGGGGTTTGACCATGTTGGTCAGGCTGGTCTCCAACTCCTGACCTCATGATCCTCCCGTCTTGGCCTCCCAAAATGTTGGAATTACAGGTGTGAGCCACCATGCCTGGACAAAATCTTAGATTTTTTTAAGGAGCAGAAGTGATTTCCAAGTTGCCACAGAGCCAATAGTTTGTCCCCACAGGAAGCCGGTAAGAACCCTCCTAATCAAAGTCCATGGCAGATTTAGGGAAGAAAGGTGCTTCCTAGTCAGGGGGCCTCAGTTCAGCTCCTGTGTCCTGAGGCCAAGGCAGCCCATCTCCAGCCCAGTCCACCCTCTTCTTGCTGAGTCACCAGCTTCATCTTCTTCAGAGCCAAATCTCCTGTGTAGAAGGACTCACCCTTAGTGAGCACAATTAGAATCTACAAGCTGAGAGATTATGGATGACTTCACAAGTCTCTTTAAACCCTTTGATTCCAGGTAGTATTTTTTGGTGGTTTATTATCATTTTGTTTTTGTACCATTAATGCTCAAAGACTTAGCAGTGGCTTCAGATATAACAACGCTTGCATAGATAATGATTCTTTAAAATTTTAATTGCCGTCGGGAACACTCCCAAAACTTCTGAAATTATATACTTGTTAAATGTAAGCATTTTTAACCAGTGATGTCATTATGACATATGCAAATATCGTAGGAGTTTTGGGGTATAAATTTATACTGGCAATTTAATTTTGTATTATGTTTGAGGTTAAACATAACTGAAATCATGGCAAATGTAAATAAATGTGTAAAATAAACATAAGTGGTGTGTGAGATACTTCTTCCAGGTCTACTTATCCACTCTTAATCTGCCAGTGGATCCCACTATTCTCAAGTTTAGACCAGTGCTTGACAAATGTTAGCAAGCATCAGAAGCATCTCAAGAGCTTGTTAAAATGCAGATTCCTGGGCTTCACTCCCAAGCATGCCACTTTAGTAGGGACTGGGTGGAACCTGAGAATTTGCATTTCTAACAATTTCCCAGGTGAGGCTGAAACGGTTGCACTGCAGGTAGCAAAGGTCTACGTATAGACTCCAGATGTCTCTCACTCATTGTCTCATTCTATTGCAGTTCTTCCTTTTTCTGCTTCAAAGGAACCTTTCTCCATTAATGTAATAACTGATGATAATTAGTACAAATGTATTCATGAGTGACTCATCCCAGGTTCTATGTGGACATCTCATGAGAATCTTCTTGAGATGCTTTAATTCAAAGAAATAAAATTAATAGTGGAAGTTTTCTATATCACAGAGGATGTTTATTTGGGCACAGAGGACTTTTAGCATCTCAGCATCCATTACTAGATGTAGGTGGACTAGTGTGTGAACAACAGCATTGTCTTTTTAAAACACTGATGAAGATGAACTCATATCTATAGGTAAAGCAGTTTAAAAAGTTTACACACACACACACACACACACACATATATATGTATATATAATTTTTTTTCTCACCAACTGCAAATAAGATTGCTCTTTTCCACAACTTCATGCATCAGGGTATGTAACAGATGTCAAGTGAAGTGACAGGGTTTTGGATGATGTTCGTGAATTAAAGGGCAGATGTCAGTTTCAAGTGATGTGTTTTCTATAATATACTGTCTCTCTTTGTTTATCTTTCAGTTACAATCTATAAAGCAACTGTTCATCTATTTAGTCTTGGGTAGGGTGTAGAAATGCAAGCCAGATCTCAAATTTGGTTTGTCATTTACCTTCTTGAAAGATGTGATTTATGTTTATAATAAAGTATTTGAAATGTCATTTAATAGGAAAACAAATGGCAGTAGGATTCCTGTGAGAAAAACAGAGAGAGAAAAGAGAAAAGGGGATTTGGAACTTTGAATCAGACATTTTTATCTCACTATACTTTAAGTTACATATTTTTATTTTAATTGTAAAAATTATCTGTCTTGATACATCTTTTCCATTTTTTTTTCCAAAAAGAATTCATCAGCTGGGTTAATGATGACACAAAATTTTAATATATGCATTAAACATTTAAGTTTTAATATGTTAACATGTCATAAGATGTGAATAATAACAATGTTTTATATATGAAGTGAAAACATATTTTATGTTAGAAGTAGTTATAATGCTTGAAAAGTGACTTATATCCATAACAATTTCATTTAAATATTGCTTTTGCTTCCCATCTATCTTAGATGCAATTTTATAGTTCTTTTAAAAAATTCATTTCAGTGTGACCTCTTTGAGACTGCAACTTAGTGCCTCTAGCCTACATATCCAATTGTACTTGTATTTGCTCCTATTCAATTACCTTTTAACATGCAGAGAGTAGCTAGCACCCAGGTCTGCATTCCCATTCTGAAACTCTCCAAGAATTACAACTTCAGTTCAGGTGCACTGAAATAAGAGAGAAGGGCAAAAAGAATCTATCATGGTACTCAGATGTTAGATCCCATGGGTAGTTTTAAATGTCCAGAGTCTGGGCTCTTACCTGCCCCTAGAATGGACTTCAGAAACTTTATTCTGAAAAGTGTAGAAATATATTCTTAAAGGAAACCTTGAGAGATTTCTGTGTCTTGCATTGGGAAACAAAGAAGGAGATGCCTGAATAAGAAAGGAACTGTAGTTCATAGAATAGAACCACAGGCACTTTTTCTTTTTTTAAAGATTTGGTTGTCATAGCTACTCTAAGATTCAATTACTACATCAGTAAAAATTGTTGATTTATATCTTCCTCTATGAAAATGCAGTGATAAAATGAGGAAATATACAAATATAATGTTTGAAAAGATCCCAAATTTAAAAAAAATTCAGACATTACTATTACCAGGCATCTATTATGAGACAGATTTGGGAGTTGCCACACATGCTTTCTAGAGTTTAGATTTGTGCCTCTAGTGTTTTGATGATAACTCTTAAGCCTTTGGCAGAAAACTTACACCTTTGTATACAATAAACCTACCCCAGTAGAGCTGGGTCAATATCTATTTTCTTCAGAGTAGAGGGAGGACTACATGGGTTGTATACATATATCAAAATAGCACATTTTACCCATAAATATTTACAGTTATTTAATTAAAAAATAATATTTAAAAGATTTTTAAAAAATATCTAACTGCTGTCTGGATATTTTGCCTTCAGCAGAAGAAAAAAAACCTTAAACTGGTATTGTTCATGAAGATTTACACCAAGAGAACTGTACCAGAAAATATCATCTGATCTTATTAGATTATAAATAACTCAACCAA
Source organism: Homo sapiens (assembly GCF_000001405.40). Classification (NCBI taxonomy): domain Eukaryota; kingdom Metazoa; phylum Chordata; class Mammalia; order Primates; family Hominidae; genus Homo; species Homo sapiens. The sequence goes on from NC_000006.12 coordinate 9,201,832, forward strand.
CTACAGAATTCCCTTGACAGATTGCTTTTGGAATTGACTATGAACATGGTAGAAAGTTTCATTTTTATTCTGCCTTTTTAAATCTATATGGATGGGATCTTAGGAAATTAAGTGCATTTTTAAAGACTTTTACAGATATATGTAGTCTATCAAAACTCTCCCCAAAAAACAAAATTTGTTCTTTCCCATCACAACTGTAAAGAATTTGATAAACTTCATCACTAATGTTCATTGACTAAGAAGGATTATTATGTTTTTTCAATGGAATGATTTAAATTGTTATAGAGTGCAAAGCTTCTAGCCAAAGAAATAAATTCCTAATCATGGAATGCCAGATTACAAACTGTGTGAAGAGAAATTTCCATGATGAACCACTTCCCGATCTCACTAGCAATGGCCTAGTTCACCTGCATGTAATCCAGTCCATCTAGCTATTTATTTCTTACATTACTTCTCTATGGCTGTGGCTGTGTTGGGCTGTGCAGTGATTAGATGAAAAATCTATGCATGGTGTCCATGCGTAGATTCATTCTGAAAGCCCTGATGTTGCCACCAGCCTGTGTCAGGCTGGCTTCTCCTGACTATGAAGAGAATCTCTATCATTCTTACATATTTACTAAATGGAGCTCTTTCTCCCCTTATAAATATTTTGTATTTTGACGTGGTTTCATCACTAAATGCATCTCAAATAATTTTACTTGAATAACTATGAACAAGCCTAGTGATTCTTCATACTCCTGCGTTCAGTTGTAAACCTGAATGTGCTCTTTGTTCGTAAATGGAAAAGGAAGCTATTCCACAAATGGCTTGTACTGGTTTGGGTCCAACTCTTTTCTCTTTCCTAAGGTGGCTACACCCATGGTCTTTTAACTGTGGTAGCAACATACTTAAAAAAAAAGTGTTCAAAGAGTCAAGACTTGAGGTTTATTTTTCTTCCAGACTGTTTTGTAATTCTCTGGTTAAAAAATAACTATTGTGTTTTATGAGAATAACAATGTTATTAAAATAGCTCAAGACGTCTTTAGAACATAAAATATCCATGAAAAACAATAATGTACTTAAATAATTTAAGCAGTGATGAATAAAAACATGTGGGTTAAATTTTTCTTAAAATTGTACTCTGATTTCAAAACAAAATAAAAAATAAGTCTGGGAAAAATTCATTTTTGAAGTCAACAAACCAAAGTTTAGTTAATCATTCAAGATATTCATCGAGTTCTAAAATAATAAGACTTTTTAAATTATAAATTAATTATACTATGTTTTGCATATTTAGTAGAGACACCAATAAGTGAAAGCATGAGTAGTTCCATCCTCACCTTGCTGCAGAGGATAGCAGAATAGCCTAAAATAGTATCATTTCTAATGAATGCAAATACAATTAAATCAATTTTATTATTTCAAGCTATAAACGTTTTTAATAGTCCCAAATGGAAATTCTCTTCTACATCTATGATTTGTTAGTACTCTGCTTCTCCTCATGTGTTGTCCAGTATTTGTTGTTATTGTCACTTGCAATGGCGTTTCACCATTCTATTGTCAGCTCCTATATGGCAAGGGGGCAAATCCTACACATGTTGTGCCTGTCACCACACAGAGTATAGTGTCAGGACCATAGTAAAAATATAAAGTCAAGACGTTTAAAAGATTGATCTCTTTAGCAAAACTTCAGAAAATTTTAATCACAATAAAATAAAGAATATTGAAGCAATATTTAAATTTGAGATTTATCAAAGCACCGTATTTTTTTTACTTGAGTTGTTTTGCTTTTGTAAAATTTTATTCTGAATCTTATTTACTGCAAAAACCATAATTGTAATTCAAATCTTAAAAACTAATGTATTCTCCAGCTTTTGGTCTGGGCTGAATCAGTGTCAAAGCTAATGTATATCTTTGTACTGAATATTTTAACTCGGACATTAGTTGGGGGCCACCGTCTTCATTTAAAGCCTGAGATATTTCAGCTCAATATATTGGCTTTCTATTTTCCTGAAGGGAGGGAAAGAAAGAGGGGGAGGAGGAGAAAGAGAAAAATCAGGAAAAGAAAGAGTAAGAGGGAGGACAGGAAGAAAGAAAGAAGAAAGGAGGGAAGAAGGGAGGGAAAGGAAGGAAGAAAGGAGGAAAAATGATAGAAGAGGGAGGTATAAAAATGGTCTTTCTACTCAGAGCTGAAAACCCCTGGGTTTAGGTTCTTTTTAACATAAAAAGATTATATTTATTTGCTAACATTTTTGGTGGTGGCAATTGGAGAGGATGGCAACAGTATTCTTTGACTGTTGATTTATTTTTGTTTTACCAAATAAAATAATAAAACAGTCATCTCAGATACTTTGCTCGAAAGTTTTGTATTTTCTTTTTTTAAATATCATGCATTCCTAATGTAGATGAAAATTGGGTAAAATGCAGCAGTTTGATTTTTTAAAAATAAAAATTTGCCCTGTAATATTTAATGTCCTACTATTAGTTAAGTAGACATTCTTTAATCTTTCTTGAGCTCCCTGGTACTGGGATCCAATATCTGGCATTGAGCCTGATGCAGGTGGTGACTCATTACATTCTGTTTGGATTAAATCATTCACTTCAAGCTTTTCTTCTGACCGTAAATTCATACATATTTTTTTCCTGGGTAGAAATCAAAGAAAGTGTTTGACTCTTTAATTATGAAGACAATTTTTAGAACCACATCTAAATCTTTTCCCATGGGTATTTTCTGACAGAATAACTATTTTTATCCAGAGCTTTTCTTTACAATGTTATTTACCCACATTGTAGTTTTATATGGAATTATGTTCAGGCTTATCAAAAAATTTTGGCTACGGAGTTATCTCCCCACATTTAAGTCATAAATACTTATTGCCTCTTCCAGAAATTCTCCAAATATGAGTAGATTGGAGTTTTATCCTGAAGGTGCTCTAGTTCCACTGACCCAGCTCCATTGGTGCAAGCCATAAAGACTGGCTACTATAAGCCTGATTATAAAATAAATCTCAATAAATTTAATGGAATCAAAAGCATGCAAGATATATTCTTCAACCCAATGAAATTAAATTGGAAATCAACAAACTGATAAAAGCTGGACAAATCCACAAATATTTGAAAATTAAGCAACACACTTCTAAATAACCCATGGGTCAACAAGACCACAAGGAAATTTAGAATAAGGTTTTAACTGAATAAAAGCAAAAACAAAACATATTAAAATTTACAAGATGAAGCCAAAGTAGTACTTAGAGGAAAATGTATAGCATTAAACACCCACATTAGAAGAACAAACTTTCGCCTTAGGAAAACAGATAAAGAATAGCAAACTAAAAGCATGCAGAATGAAGAAAATAATAAACACTAGATCAAAAACCAATGAGATAAAAAGCAGAAAAACAGCAGAGAAAATTAATTCAATCAAAAGTTGGTTCTTTGATAAGATCATTAAAATTGACAACACTTTGCTAGAATCAACAAAGTAAAACAGAGAACAGACAAATTACCAAAAATCAGGAATGAAAGAGAGGACATTCCTATTGACCTTAAAGAAATGTTAAAGATCATAAGGGATTAGTAAGAACAAGTTGATGCCAACAAGCTAGACAAATCAGAAGAAACTTTAAAATTCCTAGAAAGACAAAGTACCAAAATTGACTCAAGAAAAAATAAGCAACCTTAACTGATATATTACAAATGAAATATAGAATTAGTAATGAAAATGTCTTCCTACAGAGAAAAACTCAAGCCCAATTTCCTCGGTAAATTCTATGAATCATTTAAAGAAAAAAATGACAATTCATTACAAACTCTTTCAGAAAAATAGAAGAGGAGAGAACACTTGCCAAAGCTTATACTATAAGGATAGTATTATTCTGATATTACAGCCAAACAAATGCACTATAAATTATGGACAAATATCTTTCATGTAGATAGATATAGATACAAAATTTCTCAACAACAAAATGTTAGCAAACAGAATCCAGCAGTATATGGAAGGGATTATAAACCATGACCAAGTTAGATTCATACCGGAAATACAGGATTTGGTTTCACATTGAAACACTAATTAATGTCATATGCCCAATTGATGGGATAAAGCTGAAAAAATTTACATGAAAATTTCAATAAACACAGAAAGATAAACCCAGCACCCACTCATAACAAAAATTTTCACAGATAAGGAATAGAAGAGATTATTGCCAATCTTATAAAGGACACCTACAAAAAACCTACAGCTAACATCAGACATAGCTGTCTGATGTTAATGAATGAAAAGAGTTGAATACCTAAGATAAATCGAACCAAAGAAGTGCAAGAGAATACAACATTGACAAGAGAAATTAAAGATCTAATTAAAGGAGATCCACTCATGTTCATGAAATGAAAGATTAAATACTGTTAAGATGTTAATTCTTCTGGACATGATCTTTAGCCTCTCTGCAATCCTTAATATCCTAACGGGCTTTTCTGTAGAAATTGACAAATTGACCCTAACATTTGCGTGGAAATGCAAAGGACCCAGAAAAGCAAAAACAGTTCTGAAAAGGAACAGAGTTGGAGGATTCATACTTTCCCACTACAAAACATAAAGAAACATAAAGTATAGACCACAGTAATCAAGCCAATATGATATTGGCATAATGATAGACATGTAGTTAAACAGAGCAGAACTGGGAATCTGTAAATCATTATATTTATGATCTGTTAATTTTTCAACACAAGTTGCAAAGCAGTCAATAGGGTATAGGACAATCTTTTCAACAAATGGTGCTGGTATTGGATATCCACTTATAAAAATATATTGTCTAAAAATATCTACCAGAAATTGTATAATCACTATAATCAAAATGTTTTACTACATATACTGCACATAATTTTTAACTAAAATGAGATAAAAGTAATTTTATCTTATAATATAGCTGTAAAAACATCTTAAGCAACTTAAGTGTTTCAAATATGTAACTTACAAATTCTAAAGTTTTACATTTATTTCTGTTACAAAGGATAAATGAACAGTTATTTATAAAGTTGAATATATAGTTGCATGAAGGAATTGATTAACTTATGTCATCCTGATTAAAGATTTAAATGTATTTACATGAAATAACATTCAACCTAGTCAGAGCATTTTGAAAATAGATATATTGTTAAACTAAGTAGTTGAGTATTTAGTTCTGGCTTTTATTCTTGTTATTGAACTGGCAAGCTCAGTTGCATGTAATTTATAAAATTTGCATGGTGAATGTTAGACAACATGATGCCCAGAATTTTAGATTAAACCAGGTGTATTATTATTTAATATAGGTTGAATTATATTATGAGCATTTTTCTATTACATGAGCTATTACACAATATTATACACTTAAAAGTAAAAACTCAATTTAGAGGCAATATAGCCATTAACAAAGAAAATAAGGCAAATATTCTTTTTTTAATAATCCTCAGATAAAAGAGAATTTAACATGTGTAATCTTCAGGGAGTATAAACCCAGGGTTTTGGGTAAACTCATACTTGTAGGTTCTTGGTGTCTTCTATCTATGTGCTGTATAGGAATGAAAAAGACAAGTACTCCTGAGTTAAGCTGGGAACTACTGGGCATTAAATGCATGAATGAACAGAAAAAGTTACTCATTATTCAAGACATCCATTTTTGCTAACAAAAATTAAAAGAAAGTCTCTAATTATATTCACACTGCCTCTTCACAGCCTGATACTAATAAAGGATGGAGTATATTTCAACCAAAATAGCGGTTTGGCATATGTTGAGAAGACTTAGAGAAATTGGGAGTTAAAGTGATATTTTCAACTCTAAAACATCCCCTTGGCACTACAAAAATCTTCTATTTTTGACCCAGGAAATGGGACTGGGATATGGCCATGGCCAACTGGCCTTAAGGACATTATTAAAGAAAATCCACATTCAAGAAAAAGATGAGATAAGTAACTACAAAAGGCAGAGTTATTTTCATTCATAATTAGCCCTTCAATGCCATTTCTTACAAGCTGATACTGGGCCTAATCCCTGCAATTCCTGCTTTACCAGCAAGTCCTGGTAGAACCTTCTGAGAATTTTCATATTCCAGGGTTCTTCTTGAAATATTCCACCACTAGCCTGAAGGCAAGTGTAAGCTGCATGAAGAAGTGTCCCAAATGCCCACGCCCCCTATTCCTGCTACGCTGCCTTCTCTCTCTCAGACCTCACTTACGGCCTCATGAAGAGTTCCCTACAATCGACTGACTAAGGAAGAAAGAACTCAGGCCTGGTTCCAGATGGTTCTGCATGATCTGAAGGCACCCTCTAGAAACTTGGTCATCTATAGCACATCAGCCTCTTCCTGAGATATTCTTAAGGACAGCGGTGCAGAAACGTCCTGCCACAGGGCAGAAATTTAAGCAGTGCACCTGGCCATTTGTCTCAAAGAAGAAATAGTCAGACTAAGACCAAATTGGCTATAGCCACTGCTGAGTGCCCAATATGCCAACACTAGAGACTAACACTAAGTCCCCAAGCTGTCACAGTTCACTCGGGTCATCAGCCAGGTAATTGATGGCAGCTTGATTCATGGATTTTTATCCTGGGGCCAATATTTTGTTCTTACTGGAATAGACATTTATCCTGAGTACGGATTGCCCTGACCTGCACACAATGCTTCTGCCAAAACTACCTTTGGTGGACTTACAGAATGCCTTATCCAGTATCATTTTGTTTCATCCAGCACTGTTTCTGATTAAGGAACTCATTTCACAGCAAACAAAGTGTGGCAATGGGCCCATCCTCATGAAACTCACTGATTTTATTATGTTATCCATTGTCCTGAAGCAGCTGGCTTGATAGAGTGGTGGAATGCCCTTTTAAAGACTCAGTTACAGCAATGGCTGAGTGGAAATGCCTTACAGAACTGGGGCCGTGTTCTCCAGGTGGCTGTATATGCTCTAAACCAAGCATCCAATATATGGTGCTATTTGTCCTATGGCGAGGACTCATGGGTCCAGGAATCAAGAGGCAGAAATGTGAGTGGCACCACTCACTACTATTGCTAGGGATCGACTAGCAAAATATTTGCTTCCCTTCACTGTGATCTTAGGGCACTGCTGATCTTGGTTCCAAAGGGAGAAATGTTTCCATTAGGATACATAACAATAACCCATTGAACTGGAAGTTATGACTGCCAACTGGCCACTTTGAGCTCTTTATGCCGCTAGGTCAGAGGCAAAGAAAGCAGTTGCAGAACTGGTTGGAGTGACTGATCCTGATTATCAAGGGAAAACCTCACTGCTACTACACTGTGGGGGTAAAGAAGACTGTCTGCAATGCAGGAGATGGCTTCGGGCATCTCTAACTACTACCATGTCCTGTGACTTCTAGTTAATGGAAAACTAAGCAGCCCAATTCAGCCAAGACTTCTAATTGTCCAGACTCTTCAAGAGTGAAAGTTTGAATTACTCTATGAAGCAACAAACCATAACCAGCTGAGGTGCATTCTGAGGGCAAAGTGAATATGGACTGGGTACAGGAAGAGGTGCTTTATAAATACAAATTATGACGACACAACCAGTTTCAAAATGAGGGCTTCCTTTTTTAAAATTATAAATATATTCTTATATGTATTATCCAAATAGTTTTGTTTTCTTCTCTTTCTTATGCCCTTATTATCTAGCATAAGGTGTATGTAATTAACTTTATACCACAGTATTTAAGTTATAGGAAATCAAAGGAGAGGGGTGAATATTACTTAAAGGCTTTCTATCCTCTCTTGGGGAACAAGCTGTCATGTTTTTGGTTGTACACAGAATAGTTACACCATGTTAGACAGAAATACAACTATGCTATTGTCCTTTGGAGATTAAGTATGGTTTAAGGAGATATATATATGGATGTTAAGTTGACAACGGGTGGAGTGTGATGGTCAGTTTATGTGTCAATTTGGCTAGGCTATAATCCTTAGTTATTCAATCACACATCTAGGTATGTGGTGAAGGTATTTTGTAGAGATAATTAAAGTTCGTAACCAATTAACTTTAAGTAACGGAGATATCCTAGATAGGCTAGGTGAACCTGATTCCAACAGTTGAAAGTTATTAGGAGAAGTACTGAGGAATCCCAGAAGAAAAAATTTCTATCTCTGGGCAGCAACTTCAGCTCATGCCCAAGTGTTCTGGCGTGTCCCTCCTGACAGCTGTCCTTCAGATTTCAGAATTGCTTTGGCATCCTCCACAATGAGGCAAGCCAATATCTTATAATAAATCTCTAATATCTCCGACTGGTTCTGTCCTCCTGGTTCTGTCCCTCTGGTTGAATGCTGATGAATACAGCCATTTAAAAACCTTTGGGCAAATAATACATTAAAGTTTCTATTAGACGTTAACACTAAAATGCCACCGTTTTGTCTGATGGTTTACCAAGGGACAGGTTACTGAATATGGAACTTTGAGGGAAATGACAGGAGTGATGGGGAATCGGTGCCCTCTTAGAATGGGAGTGGTCATCCCATAGGCTCTAGACATCCAAAAAGACTGCAGGAAGGGAAAAGTATCTGATGAAGGAAAGGATGCCTAGGCATGACAAAGACCTATGCAATGAAGGCAGGGAGACGGGCAAAGAGAGAATTTATGGTTGTACATACAGGCATCCCTGGCTACAAATCCAAAGTAGAACAGGATTCTGTGATTATCAACAAGATGCCCAGGGACATATTAGGCGGTGCTGCAACTGTGACCCTTTTTTTGCTGCAACTGTTCGCTTTTTGCTTTCTTGTTTCTTTTTGTTTTCCTCATCTTCTTCTTCTCTTTTTAATTACTCTTCATAATTGTTATAGTAGTTACCTTTAAAAGAAAAATCAACAGGACTAGCAAATAAAGTGTGAGAGTTTTCTGTATTTTATGTCATCAAATACACCCAGTGGTCCTCTGAGATAGGCATCCTAAGTTATTCCTAAAATGGTTAGAGAGTAGAAACCATTGCCCAAGGAACTTTTATAAATACAAGTATAAATACAATTGCCTAAGGCCCTTGTATACGTCAATTGCCTGAGGACACCTGCCTGGTGTCAGAGCTAGAATACTATCTTAATTCTGTTCTATCTATAAAACCTAGATTCTCAATTATTGCATTATCCTGCACTCCAAAGAGAAATAATTTCCATAGAGTCAGCACCAATGGCAGATAGAGGATAATTTGCAGACCCAGAAGCCACATTTTAGAAGGGACTTGGAGAGATGACAGGGCTTTGATTTTGAGTTTCTGTTCCACAGGAAGCCAGGATGTCCATCTGACTTCAATTCTCTCCTGATTATTCCTTGCTCCTGAAAAAGATCAGATTGATACACACACTTCCTTTTCATCTCATCTCGTGCCACTTTTTAAAATTCGGCCTGTTTACTAGAGCAGATTCTTTTCAGCATATACTTGGCCATGTGTAACGAGGAAAGGAGGGTAGGAGATGGTTTCTGCAAACATGGCAAGCTTTAGATTGACCTTTCTTTAAGGGAATGCTGAAGTTAGGAGGAGTACCTTTCCCTCTACTACCTAAGAAGACAGCTTTTTCAAAGCTCTCTCTAGCTTTGAGATAATGGATTTGCATATCCAAATTCAAGGCAATTTACATGTTTTTAAAAAATCAGAGAAACTCATAGATAATATCAACTTCTGAAAAACCTGAATACGATAAATTACACTAATTCAAGTAGATGATGTGGAGGTCATTATAATATTAAGAAGCAAAAAAGAGTATCATTTCTCACTGCTTAAATTTGTGTGTGTGTGTGTTTTTTTCCTATAGTCTCATTAAACCTATTTTTAAAAATATCTTAGGGAACTCTACTGCATCTTCATTTATTTTAATATTATTAAATGGGTCTTATCAAAGTAGAAGTTCTTAGATTGTATGTCCTTATTTTCAACTCTTTTCTCCTCTATTATTCATAACTGTGTGTGTCAATTAATTTCTTAAGTTGGGAAATTACTGCTATATATTGTTATATTTTTAAAAACTATTTTCCATCAACTAGGGATGGAAATAGGAATACTGTTAGCTTCTTAGCAATTGAGCTTTCTAAATTATTTCTAAAAATTGAGAAATCAGATGTTCTCCCAAACTAGCTGGGCAACTAGTAACCTAGCCTAAGCCTCATGAAGGATTTTAAGAATTAACTTCTGTATTTTAAAAGTCCATACATACCAGAGACGCGTGCTTTCTATAAATATGAAAAACATTTGGTTATTCAACTTGACTTGAAAACTTAAATTTTGACTCGGTTCATTATTTAAGACACTACATGTTTTCTATAAATAATGTGTTTTTATCATGGCTCTTAGACTTTCAGCAATTTCTTAATAGCAACATATATATTATCAAGAAAGACTAACATGGCTTTCTTTTGCATAGATTTTTTCAAACCATTAATATCTGCATAAAATTAATTAACAATCTAATAATATGAATGAAGAATAGTAAAGATTAGGATGCTAATAATTATGATAAAAGCAAAGTTTATTTTCCTTTCTGTTCTTTTAATCCTAAAGTTGTCACAAAATATGTAGCTCTTGAAACTAAGATCTTGTTGAATTATTCATACTTCCTTTTCTTATTTAACCAGCAATTTAGCTTTTTCTCTTTTAATGCTTAGGAATACTCAAACTTCCTTTCTTCAAAAAAAATTGTTTTTTTTCCCAATGAATATCCAATAAACCACAGGGTTTTGGAAAGCAGTTTGTCCATGTTCCCACTCCAACACTTACTGAGTAATATTGGGCAGGTCAATTAACATGGCTCCACTTCAGTTTCCATATCTGCAAACTGGAAGTTATATTACCTATTTTAATGGGTGATTGTAATACTAAATTGATATATTGCATGCAAAGCACTTTTAAGAAAGTATAGGATAATAAACACAAGTTAGTTAATAGTTATGTTTAAACTAAGAAAGTTTAATGAAATGTGTGGATTTTTTTCTCAAATTACTTTAAACTCATAACCTTGGCTGCTAAAGTGCTATATCCTCCTTCTTGCCCCATTCTCCATAATCAGTCCTATGGGGGAGCATGTGAAATTGAAAACCCATATGACTTCTGGTCAGACTAACCCTGGTTTCTCTACTTACTAATTTTACGATCTTGTATAACGTGCTATGTCTGTCTGAGACTCATTCCCCTCTTCAATAAAATAAATAAAAAAGAATAATACCTATATTGACCTATATTGCAGGATGATGTGAAGCTTGTGTGACTTGCATGTGAAACATCCAGTGTGGAGGGGACGCATACAGTAGAGACTGGCACTGCCTTGTCTCACCTGGATATAACCACGGAACAAATACAAATTGTTTTCACTTTGTTCTTACCTAGTATGTCTATCATTGCCACACTCTCACACTTTTAATCACACTTTTAATTGGCCTTAAAAATTCTTAATATTTTTAAAGTATAGAACTTCATGTCTTTTAAACTGAAAATTAGACTGAGAATATTAATTGCTTATTGTCTTATGAGGATCCTCAATCAAAGTTTAATGTTCATCTTCTTCCTTGCCCATTCAAAAAATAGTCATTGTTGGTACTGAACATAAACTATTATTTTTAAATCAAAGCATTATTTTATAATAAAATAAGGGTTATTTAATAGTTAACCTAGTCATGTATTTTAACCAATTTTTCCTGCATGATCTAGTTAAAGATGTTAGGTTAAGATGGCTGAACAGGAAGAGCTCTGGTCTGCAGCTCCCAGCGTGATTGATGGAGAAGACAGGTGATTTCTACATTTCCAACTGAGGTACCTGGTTCATCTCATTGGGATTGGATGGAAAGTGGGTGCAGCCCACAGAGGGCGAGTTGAAGCAGGGTGGGGCGTTGCCTCACCCGGGAAGCACAAGGGATTGGGGGATTTCCCTTTCCTAGCCAAGGGAAGCCGTGATAGACTGTACCTGGAAAAATAAGAGATTCCCATGCAAATACTGAGCTTTACCCAAGGTCTTAGCAACCGGCAGACAAGGAGATCCTCTCTCGTGCCTGGCTTGGTGGGTCCCACGCCCATGGAGCCTTGCTCACTGCTAGTGCAGCAGTCTGAGATCGAACTGCAAGGCAGCAGCCTGGCTGGGGGAGGGGTGTCCACCATTGCTGAGGCTTGAGTAGGTAAAGCGGCCTGGAAGCTCTAACTCAGGGGAGCCCACCGCAGCTCAGCAAGGTCTTCTGCCTCTAGACTCCGCCTCTGTGGGCAGGGCTTAGCTTAACAAAAGGCAGCAGACAACTTCTGCAAACTTAAATGTCCCTGTCTGACAGCCTTGAAGAGAGCAGTGGTTCTCCCAACACGGCGTTGAGTTCTGAAAACAGACAGACTGCCTCCTTAAGTGGGTCTCTGACCCCTGTGTAGCCTAACTGGGAGACACCTCCAAGTAGGGGCCAAAAGACACCTCATATAGGCGGGTGCCCCTCTGGGATGAAGATTCCAGAAGAAGGATCAGGCAGCAATATTTGCTGTTCTGTAGCCTCTGCTGGTGATACCCAGGCAAATAGGGTCTAGAGTGGACCTCTGGCAAACTCCAACAGACCTGCAGCTGAGGGACCTGACTATTAGAAGGAAAACTAACAAACAGAAAGGAATAGCATCAACATCAACAAAAAGGACATCTACACCATAACCCCATCTGTAGGTCATCAACATCAAAGACCAAAGGTAGATAAAACCACAAAGAGAGGGAGAAACCAGAGTAGAAAAGCCGAAAATTCTAAAAATCAGAGCGCCTCCTCCAAAGGACTGCAGCTCCTCACCAGCAAGGGAACAAAGCTGGACAGAGAATGAATTTGATGAGTTGACAGAAGTAGGCATCAGAAGGTCGGTAATAACAAGCTTCTCTGAGCTAAAGGAACACGTTCGAACCCATTGCAAGGAAGCTAAAAACCCTGAAAAAAAAGGTTAGACGAATGGCTAACTAGAATAAACAGTGTAGAGGAGACCTTAAATGACCTGATGGAGCTGAAAACCATGGCATGAGAACTTTGCGACACATGTGCAAGCTTCAATAGTTGATTTGATCAAGTGGAAGAAAGGGTATCAGTGACTGAAGATCAAATTAATGAAATAAAGTGAGAAGACAAGTTTAGAGAAAAAAGAGTAAAAAGAAATGAACAAAGCCTCCAAGAAATATGGGACTATGTGAAAACACCAAATCTACGTTTGATTGGTGTACCTGAAAGTGATGGGGAGAATGGAACCAAGTTGGAAAACACTCTGCAGTATATTATCCAGGAGAACTTCCCCAACCTAGCAAGGCAGACCAACATTCAAATTCAGGAAATACAGAGAACACCACAAAGATACCCCTCAAGAAGAGCAACCCCAAGACACATAATTGTCAGATTCACCAAGGTTGAAATGAAGGAAAAAATGTTAAGGGCAGCCAGAGAGAAAGGTCGAGTTACCCACAAAGGGAAGCCCATCAGACTAACAGCAGATCCCTCAGCAGAAACCCTACAAGACAGAAGAGAGTGGGGGCCAATATTCAACATTCTTAAAGAAAAGAATTTTCAACCCAGAATTTCATATCCAGCCAAACTAAGTTTCATACATGAAGGAGAAATAAAATCCTTTACAGACAAGCAAATGCTGAGAGATTTTATCACCACCAGGCCTGCCTTACAAGAGCTCCTGAAGGATGCACTAAACATGGAAAGAAACAACCGGTACCAGCCACTGCAAAAACATGCCAAATTGTAAAGACCATCAGTGCTAGGAAGAAACTGCATCAACTAATGAGCAAAATAACCAGCTAACATCATAATGACAGGATCAAATTCACACATAACAATATTAATCTTAGATATAAATGGGCTAAATGCCCCAATTAAAAGACACAGACTGCAAATTGGATAAAGAGTCAAGGCCCATCAGTGTGCTGTATTCAGGAGACCCATCTCATGTGCAAAGATGCTCATAGGCTCAAACTAAAAGGATGGAGGAAGATCTACCAAGCAAATGGAAAGCAGGGGTTGCAATCCTAGTCTCTGATAAAACAAACTTTAAACCAACAAAGATGAAAAGAGACAAAGAAGGCCATTACATAATGGTAAAGGGATCAATTCAACAAGAAGAACTAACTATCCTAAATATATATGCACCCAATACAGGAGCATCCGGATTCATAAAGTAAGTCCTTAGAGACCTACAAAGAGACTTAGACTCCCCCACAATAATAATGGGAGACTTTAACACCCCACTGCCAACATTAGACAGATCAACAAGACAGAAGGTTAACAAGGATACCCAGGGCTTGAACTCAGCTCTGCACCAAGCAGACCTAGTAGACATCTACAGAACTCTCCACCCCAAATCAACAGAATATACATTCTTCTCAGCACCACATCACACTTATTCCAAAATTGACCACATAGTTGGAAGTAAAGCACTCCTCAGCAAATGTAAAAGAACAGAAATCACAACAAACTGTCTCTCAGACCACAGTGCAATCAAATTAGAAGTCAGGATTAAGAAACTCACTCAAAACCACACAACTACATGGAAACAACCTGCTCTTTTTATTATTATTATTATTATACTTTAAGTTCCAGGGTACATGTGCACAACGCACAGGTTTGTTACATATATATACATGTGCCATGTTGGTGGGCTGCATCCATTAACTCGTCATTTACATTACATATATCTCCTAATGCTATCCTTCCCCCCTCCACCCACCCCACAACAGGCCCCAGTGTATGGTGTTCCCCACCCTGTGTCCAAGTGTTCTCATTGTTCAGTTCCCACCTATGAGTGAGAATATGCAGTGTTTGGTTTTCTGTCCTTCGATAGTTGCTGAGAATGATGGTTTCCAGCTTCATCCATGTCCCTGCAAAGGACATGAACTCATCCTTTTTTATGGCTGCATAATATTCCATGGTGTCTATGTGCCACATTTTCTTAATCCAGTCTATCATTGATGGACATTTGGATTGGTTCCAAGTCTTTGCTATTGTGAATAGTGCTGCAATAAACATAGGTGTGCATGTGTCTTTATAGCAGCATGATTTATAATCCTTTGGGTATATACCCAGTAATGGGATGGCTGGGTCAAATGGTATTTCTAGTTCTAGATCCTTGAGGAATCACCACACTGTCTTCCACAATGGTTGAACTAATTTACAGTCTCACCAACAGTGTAAAAGTGTTCCTATTTCTCCACATCCTCTCCAGCACCTGAACAACCTGCTCTTGAATGACTACTGAGTAAATAATGAAACGAAGGCAGAAATACAAATGTTCTTTGAAACCAATGAGAACAAAGACACAACGTACCAGAATCTCTCGGACACATATAAAGCAGTGTGTAGAGGGAAATTTATAGCACTAAATGCCCACAAGAGAAAGCAGGAAAGATCTAAAATTGACACCCTAACATCACAATTAAAATAACTAGAGAAGCAAGAGCAAACAAATTCAAAACCTAGCACAAGGCAAGAAATAACTAAGATCGGCCGGGCGCGGTGGCTCACGCCTGTAATCCCAGCACTTTGGGAGGCCGAGGCGGGCGGATCACGAAGTCAGGAGATAGAGACCATCCCGGCTAAAACGGTGAAACCCCGTCTCTACTAAAAATACAAAAAATTAGCCAGGCGTAGTGGCAGGCGCCTGTAGTCCCAGCTACTTGGGAGGCTGAGGCAGGAGAATGGCGTGAACCCAGGAGGCGGAGCTTGCAGTGAGCCGAGATCCCGCCACTGCACTCCAGCCTGGGCGACAGAGCGAGACTCCGTCTCAAAAAAAAAAAAAAAAAAAAAAAGACATAACTAAGATCAGAGAACTGAAAGAGATACAGACACAAAAAAACCCTTCAAAAAAATCAATGAATCCAAGAGCTGGTTTTTTGAAAATATCAACAAAATTGATAGACTGCTATCAAGACTAATAGAAAAGAGAGAAGAATCAAATAGAAGCAATAAAAAATGATAAAGGGGATATCAAAGCCGATCCCAAACTACCATCAGAGAATACTATAAGCACCTCTTCACAAATAAACTAGAAAATCTAGAAGAAATGGATCAATCCTGGACACATACGCCCTCCCAAGACTAAAACAGGAAGAAGTTGAATCTCTGAAGAGACCAATAACAGGCTCTGAAATTGAGGCAATAATTAATAGCCTACCAACCAAAAAAAGTCCAGGACCAGACAGATTCATAGCCGAATTCTACCAGAGGTACAAAGAGGAGCTGGTACCATTCCTTCTGAAACTATTCCAATCAATAGAAAAAGAGGGAATCCTCCCTAACTCATTTTATGAGGCCAATATCATCCTGATACCAAAGCCTTGCAGAGACACAACAAAAAAAGAGAATTTTAGACCAATATCCTTGATGAACATTGATGCAAAAATCCTCAATAAAATACTGGCAAACCGAATCCAGCAGCACATCAAAAAGCTTATCCACCACAATCAGGTTAGTTTCATCCCTGGGATGCAAGGCTGGTTCAACATATGCAGATCAATAGACATAATCCATCACATAAACAGAACCAACAACAAAAACCACATTATTATCTCAATAGATGCAGAAAAGACCTTTGACAAAATTCAACAGCCCTTCATGCTAAAAGCTCTCAATAAACTAGGAATTGATGGAGTGTATCTCAAAATAATAACAGCTATTTATGACAAACCCAGTGCCCATATCATACTGAATGGGCAAAAACTGGAAGCATTCCCTTTGAAAACCAGCACAAGACAAGGATGCCCTCTCTCACCACTCCTATTCAAAATAGTGTTGGAAGTTCTGGCCAGGGCAATCAGGCAAGAGAAAGAAGTAAAGGGTATTCAATTAGGAAAAGATGAGGTCAAATTGTCCCTGTTTGTAGATGACATGATTGTATATTTAGAAAACCCCATCATCTCAGCCCAAAATCTCCTTGAGCTGATAAGCAACTTCAGCAAAGTCTCAGGATACAAAATCAATGTGCAAAAATCACAAGCATTCCTATACACCAATAACAGACAGACAGACAGCCAAATCATGAGTGAACTCCCATTCACAATTGCTATAAAGGGAATAAAATACCTAGCAATCCAATTTACAAGGGATGTGAAGGACCTCTTCAAGGAGAACTACAAACACTGCTCAATAAAATAAAAGAGGACACAAACAAATCGAAGAACATTCCATGCTCATGGATAGGAAGAATCAGTATCATGAAAATGGCCATACTGCCCAAGGTAATTTATAGATTCAATGCCATCCCCATCAAGCTACCAATGACTTCCAATGCTTTTGGAATTGGGAAAAATTCTTCACAGAATTGGAAAAAACTACTTTAAAGTTAATATGGAACCAAAAAAGAGCCTGCATTGCCAAGACAAACCTAAGCCAAAAGAACAAAGCTGGATGCATCACGCTACCCAACTTCAAACTATACTACAAGGCTACAGTAACCAAAACAGCATGGTACTGGTACCAAAACAGAGATATAGACAAATGGAACAGAACAGAGGCCTCAGAAATAACGCCGCATATCTACAACTGTCTGATCTTTGACAAACCTGACAAAAACAAGAAATGGGGAAAGGATTCCCTATTTAATAAATGGTGCTGGGAAAACTGGCTAGCCATATGTAGAAAGCTGAAACTGGATCTCTTCCTTACACCTTATCCAAAAATTAATTCAAGATGGATTAAAGACTTAAATGTTAGACCTAAAACCATAAAAACCCTAGAAGAAAACCTAGACAATACCATGCAGGACATAGGCATGGACAAGGACTTCATGACTAAAACACCAAAAGCAATGGCAACAAAAGCCAAAATTGACAAATGGGATCTACTTAAACTAAAGAGCTTCCGCACAGCAAAAGAAACTACCATCAGAGTGAACAGGCAACCTACAGAATGGGAGAAAACTTTTGCAATCTACCCATCTGACAAAGGGCTAATATCCAGAATCTACAAAGAACTCAAACAAATTTACAAGAGAAAAGCAAACAACCCCATCAAAAAGTGGGCAAAGGATATGAACAGACACTTCTCCAAAGAAGATATCTATGCAGCCAACAGACACGTGAAAAAATGCCCATCATCACTGGTCATCAGAGAAATGCAAATCAAAACCACAGTGAGATACCATCTCATGCCAGTTAGAATGGCAGCCATTAAAAAGTCAGGAAACAACAGATGTTGGAGAGGATGTGGAGAAATAGGAACCCTTTTACACTGCTGGTGGGAGTGTAAACTAGTTCAACCATTGTGGAAGACAGTGTGGTGATCCCTCAAGGATATAGAACTAGAAATACCATTTGACCCACCAATCCCATTAGTGGGTATATACCCAAAGGACTATAAATCATGCTGCTATAAAGACACATGCACACGTATGTTTATTGCAGCACTATTCACAATATCAAAGACTTGGAACCAACCCAAATGTCCATCAATGAAGGACTGGATTAAGAAAATGTGACACATATACATCACAGAATACTATGCAGCCATGTAAAAGGAGAAATTCATGTCTTTTGCAGGGACATGGATGAAGCTGGAAACCATGATTCTCAGCAACTATCACAAGGACAGAAAACCAAACACTGCATGTTCTCACTCATAGGTGGGAATTGAACAATGAGATCACTTGGACACAGGGCAGGGAACATCACACACCGGGGCCTGTTGGGGGGTGGGGGGCTGGTGGGTAGATAGCATTAGGAGAAATACCTAATGTAAATGATGAGTTGATGGGTGCAGCACACCAACATGGCACATGTATACCTATGTATCAAACCTGCATTTTGGGCACATGTACCCTAGAACTTAAAGTATAATAATAAAATAGTAATAATGATGATTTAAAAAAAGATGTTAGGTTATTTATTTATTTATTTATTTTTTGAGACGGAGTCTCACTCTGTCACCCAGGCTGGAGTGCAGTGGTGCAATCTCGGCTCACTGCAACCTCCACCTCCCAGGTTCAGGTGATTCTCTTGCCTCAGCCTCTTGAGTAGCTGGGATTACAGGCACCCTCCACCATACCTGGCTAATTTTTGTATTTTTAGTAGAGACAGGGTTTTGCCATGTTGGCCAGGCTGGCCTTGAACTCTGACCTCAGGTGATCCACCCGCCTCAGCCTCCCAAAATGCTGGGATTACACATTTGAGCCAGCATGCCCAGCCAGATGTTAGGTTATTTTTATATATGCTATAGGGAACACATAAGCTTCCTTCGCAAAAACTCTCAGGCACTCTGTGTTGCCCAGAATGTTTAATTCAAAATTGTAATCTTGGCCTTAATAATTCTTAGGTAACTTATTTCACTCCATTCTAACAGACTGAGGTTTAAATCCCAGCACCTAAGCGGAGTGTGATCCTGAACTTCCCTATGCCCCTGCCCCAGTTGTCTCATCCATAAGAATAGTTCAGCCTTTGGATTTGTTTTAAGCGTAATACTTACAAAGATTTTAACATGGTGATGGTGCTTAGCACATGCCAAATATTTAATACTTGTTTTTGGTTTTGTTTGTTTTTTGTTTTTGCTTTTTTTTTTCTCAAAGTTTTTGTTTAATCCTTCTTTTCTCATTGTTCTTTTTCTTCTTTCTCTCTTTTCTCCATTTCTTTCTGAATTTCTTGACTTCCTTCCATTCTACAAGTCTTTCATTCCTAAACTGTTGCTTTTGCGGCTTTTTCGTCATTTCTTTAATTATTTGCCAAGTGCCTTTTATATGCCTCTCGATTGTGATCTTCAGCAATGAGCGAAAACAGACTCATCTCTAATTTTGTGTATATAGTATTCTGGTGGAGGAGAGAGATATTCACCAAATAATCACGTAAACATGTAAAATTGTTACTGTTGACAAGAGCTACAACAGAGAGGTAAAAACCATGCTCTGAGAACATGTAATAAGGAAAACTGACCTAGTCAATGAATCAGCAGAGGCTTCCCTGAGCAAGGAACACTTGATCCGAGTGCTGAAGGATCAGGTAGAGTGAACTTAATGACGATGCAGGATAAGAACATCCCAGAAGAGGGAACAGTGCATGCACAATAACCATGGCAGGAAGGAGCACATGTAAAATGAGGGCTGGAAAGAAGAGCCCTCATGGGCAGTGACAGAGGATGAAGACGAACATGGAGAGGGCATCTGGAAAGGGCATGGCTGGCCACATGGGGGAGTTGGCTTTGTCTTGAGGACAATAAGAGGCTGAAACAGTGACATAGATAATTTTTTGGAAGAGTCATACATGTCGAAAACTCTTGTTTTCAGAATGGATTGGAGGGGATCCAGACAGATTCCTGGGAACCTACTATAGTCATCTTTGAGGAAGATATTGAGAGTATGATCCAGGGTGGTGGACTACAGATCGTAAGAACTGTCTAGGAGGGAAAAAATAATGGGATTTTCTTATGTATTTGAGAAAGGGAAGTATCAAAGATGACTCAAGATTTCTGGAGTGGATAGGTTAGATGGCGTTTTTGCTGTTTTTTTTTTTTTTTTTTGAGAATTATGTGTGTGTGGGAAGGGTAAGGGAATGTAAATGAGTCCTAAGTGGAAAATTCCAGTTTTAGAGGGCTTTGACTTTCTAAAAGAAAATGACGAGAACATAGAGGAATATACAGGTCTGGAAATCAGAGGGTATCTGGGCTAAAGCTACACATTTGTAAATCATCTATATGATATAATTCAAACTACAAATATGCTTGAAATCAATAAAAGAGAAGAGAATCCCTCGGACCTGTATTTCATGCTTAATGTAGATGAGGCTGGTTCTAAAAAAAAAAGTCAAAAGTTAAAAAGAGAAAACCTGGAGAAAGTGGAGTCTAAATGCCAATATAAGAGAAACATATTGAAAGGTAATCAAAAGTCTTAAATGCAGCTAGGATAACTTGTACAAAAGATGACTGGAAATATCTCTTGGATTCCATGATCTATTAACAGATGTTATTGTTAACCTTAATGAAAACAATTTCAATGGTATAAAGTGGACAAATCCATATTGGGATAAAGTGAGGAAATAGTAATAAAACTAACTCTTTTGAGAAGTTTGGCTATACAGTGGAGAAAATAGAGAGGGAAATTACTAGAAAGAGAAACGATGTCTAGAGAGTATTTGTTAATGTTGTTTTATAGAGGACACATGAGTACAGTTAAAAGCGACTGGGAAAGGGAAAGTTCCAGTTGAGAGACATAGAAATAGAGATTTGGAATGAGAGGTTGTATATGTAAAAGAGAAGACCTGCTTATAATTTAAGACTGATGAGGATGAAATCCATAGCACAAATGTAGAAATTAGCCTTAAGTAAGAGAAATGACATTTTTGAATTTTAGCAAGAAGGAAGTGAATAAAACTCATGCATAGATAATGGTTATAGATATTTATAGACAATTGCATATAAGTATAATAATGCACATCATTATTGATGTTTTGTATACCAGGCACTTTAACATTAAATGACTCATCCAACAAACATAAAACTCATGAGAAACCTGCGAGTTTGGGAATGAAACAAAGCAGAGATAGAAATGTAGTCCCAGCTACTCGGGAGGCTGAGGCAGGAGAATGGCGTGAACTCGGGAGGCGGAGCTTGCAGTGAGCCGAGATCACGCCACTGCACTCCAGCCTGGGCGACAGAGCGAGACTCCGTCTCAAAAAAAAAAAAAAAAAAAAAAAATCCTCCATCTTGACTGATCTTACTTAGTATAACATTACTGTGACAAGGTTTTACAAAAATGGTTTTGAAGAAGTCCAAAGAAGCCTGAGACTTAAAACACAGATGTTCAAGTAAGAGAGTGTGAATCTGTAATCATCTCTGTTTTCAACAAAGACATGGGGAATGAGACTCAAAACATTCATGTATTCATAGAAAATCAGGACATAAGTGGAGAAACAGAACAATTTAATTAGCATGATCTTCTAGGTAGCAGTAAATGGTCTATTTGTGTCGGGTTAATGAACTCTTCTAGGGCACTCAATAGAACCAGCGTGCCTTTAAAGGACTCATTGACCTCACAGGGATGAGCACTTTTTCTATCAGAGAGCCCTTTATTTACCAGTCTTTACACTCAGCAGGAGAAGGCCACATATTTATGAGGTATCAGCTTCCCACAGGTAAAGGAAGTGTTTTTCATGGGTTTATGCCCTGATACACACAACTAACATTAAAACTCCTGGTAGAATTGTTTGTATTCCTATGCATAAATAAAGTGATGCAGCATAGTATTGTTTAATTTTATCAGTGTAACACAGACATAAAATAACAATAAACATCCTACTAGGTGATATGTCTGAACTACAGCTTGATATTATTCAGTATTGAGAGTTGTGTGGCCAAAGTCAGAGTAGAGTTGGGCCAGTCGTTGGTAATTTTTAAAAAAATCTATACAACTGTGGCCTCTTTTCTGGAAATGAGCTGTAGCAATGCTTATATTACACCCCTCTGAGCATTCATACAGATAAAAAACATTTATTGGTCCTTACTGTATACTAAGCAAATTGGGTCATGATGAGGGAAAACAAAGAAAAGACATAAATAAATATCTAATCATGTACGTTCATTGTAACAGCACAAGCAACTGGTTTTATTTGAAGCATCCTCTGCTTTCTAGGTCTAAGCTAAGAAAGATAAAAAGAAAACAGAAAAATGCAAAACTAAGTCTTTCCCTTTATTTTAACAACTATCATGGCTCTTCATTTTTGTGTATGTCTTGTGAGCACAGGGGCTATTTTTTTCAAGGATGGTTATAGAATGAAGAGCCTTGGAATTTAGAGTCCCCCTCTGGCAGAAAAGGCCAATATGCTTTTAGCTGCTTATAAAACATTCAGGTATCCTGAGTTTAGGATTCCCCAGCTGTATGTGTTGATTGCCTCACACAAACCAACTGTATGTGAAAGATCCACCAGGGCCCTTCAGTATTACCCTCTAGGATTTGGAAGGCAAGAGGCAATATGATTCAGCACAGACATGATGCCCATGCTGCTTGCTGTACTGTGAGTCATAAAGTCCTTGTCTCTGAACCAGGAGTCTCACGTCTTCTGCTAGCAACCAAGAAACTATGGCAGGCTAATTTGTTCATGTCCAAATAGGATAAAAATCTCAGACATATTGCAGTTCTTCACAATCCTTCCCCATTAATTTGCTTATATTTTTTATGGGTTTCCTTCCTAGGGGCATCTATGTAAATCATTTGGAGTTTTTGCCTTTCCTCTTAGAAGAAAAATATGAATGATTTGACTGAACAGGCCTATAGCCAAACCCAAGATGATCTTTCCAAGCGTGAACTCCATCTTCAAACTTCTAGTGAGTCTGAGGCCGCAACTGGAAAAATTTAGAAATAATTTCTAATTCTTGAAATCTTTGAAATGTCAAAACATTAAAACTTTAAGTTTTTGTATCTTGTTTAATGTTTAACAATTTTCTGAAACTTTGGAAATTATGTAGGTATTCTATTTTGTTAGTTTGGCTTAGCATATATAAATAGAGCTATGTCTACATATTAATAGTAGTCTTGTTTTACCTTACCTTTGTTTTTTTGTTGTTGTTGTATGCCATCTAGATCTTAAACCTTAAAGAAGAAACTATGGCAATGTCTCTTCCACCACTCTTGACTAGCATGATGTGTTGCCAAAAGACTTCAGATCATAAGTGCGAAATAAAAAATCAAAAATTGACTGCATCTTTTCTCATTGCTCAACAACTGTCAAACAACTGAGAAATTTGTTTTGGATGAAGCAGTAACATTCCTTCTTCCACTCCCAGCCCCATTCCACGTAGTCTGCAGTTCCTCACTGACCACTGATTGATGTCAACGTGCAAACTCTCAGACAGAAGACAAGAAATATGTCCTGGGTTTTCTGGTTCCTCAAGCTTCTGACTAGGACCAGAGCCAGCAATTACACACACTTATCCCTATTCTTTCCATGAATGCAGAGAAAGAAAGACCTTCTTGGGCTGTAAGAAATACTCTATTCCTCACACATAATAACTAAGGCTCAGCAGCTTGTAAAAAGGCATGGTCCAGGGCATGTCAGGACAAGGAAGAGCGGTAAGTTGTTTCTCTGTCTTTCCTCTGTATTCTTTCATAATTGGGACAAGGCCTCAGCTGACAAGGAGCTGGCAGAACACTGGGGACAGCTGGTATGTAAGAACCAACACCGTCCCATCAGTCATTTATTCAACACATGTTTATTGAGTATCTGCAACGTGACTGCACCGTTATAGAGTCTGCATTGTTGTAGGTCCTGAGAAAAAAACTGCAAAGCAAAAGTACACACAGGCTTGCCCTCCTGAAATGTACAGTCAGGTGGAGATGGCAGATATTAAGAAACTAACTTGTGCTATTGAAGTTTAAAAGAAAGGGATCTTACTGAGTCTGAGGAGAGGGATGAATCAATGCAGACTTCCTAGAAGAACTGGCATATAAACCAAGAACTGAAAGAGGAATAGACATTAAACCAGAAAACAGAATGGAAGAAAAATAGATTTACGATGCAAAAACCGTAAAGGAAAGAGTTCAGTATGACTGGAATATATAGACAGAAGATAATGGTTTATGATAAGACTGAAAAGGAATGCAGGGTCTAGATAAAGAGACTCTTCAAATTAGTAAGAATTTTTTTGAGACAATAAAAGACCATTTTGCTTTGGCAAAATAATAATAATAATAACACTCAGTGTAGTGTGAACTATAAATTTAGGAGAGCAAGAGTAATTGTGGGGAAATCAGTTAAGAGACTTGCTTTAGCCAAGAAAACAGTTGATGTTGGATTAAACCATGGAGAAGATAATGGAGATAATGACAAGTGGACAGATTTTGGAAATCAATATCTTTTGGTAATTAATTGAACATAGGAGAAAGAAGAAAAGATGGGGTTACATAGGACTCTGAAATTTCTGAACAATCAGCTGGGAAGATGATAGCATTATTTGTTGTGTAAAGAACATGAGAAGAGGCTCGGGATTGGAAGGACACATGAGGAGCTCTGGTTTTGACACAGTGAGTGTGGTATATGGGCTCTCACTTACGTGGGTCTAGAGCTAAGAAGAGAAGTCATGGGTTGGACGCAAAAGTGTGGGTTTTGGCAGCATTTAGGTAGTAAAAATTTGGCAAATGGTTAAGAGTATATTACAGGAAAAGAAAATAATTTAGGTCAGAGTCCAGAGGAAAGCATACATTTAACACAGAAGAATAAAACCTGAGAAATAACTGGTAAACGAGATTAGGAAGCAGTCAGAGAGGAAGAAAGCCAGGAGGATACGGTGTGGCATGGAAGCCAATGGAGAGATTGTTTCAAGAAGAAGAAGATAGTTAACAGTAGGGAATTATCAACATAGAGATTAAGAAATGTGGATTTACCAATAAGGAGGACATTCGTGTTCTTCAAAATGAAAACCAGAGAAGAGGTAAAAGCAAAAAAAAAAAAAAAAAATTGTCAAGAGGCAAGAACAGAACTTGAAAGAGAATACCAGGAAACCATGGAAAGTGAAGATAGACTTAGAGAGTATGGTCAAAAGTTAGGACAGAGAAATCAGATGAGCTGATCTGAAATCCAGAAACTATTCATGGAGAACACACCCCAGGCGAGTGACTTTTGAAAGTCCTTTCCTTTATACTTACCTATATTAATTGCTGAATGTAAAAATATCATATTTTAATTATTTATTACCAAAATAATGTATTTCCTTGTGGAATAACTTAAAAAATGTAGAAGAGTAAAGAAATGATCCATATTCTTCGCATAAAAAGAAAAACAATATTGATGTTTGCTCTTTCCATCAGAATTGTCCAAATAAATAATCATTCTATACACATTACTTTGAAATATGTTTTCTTTGCATAATATTTTAGCATAACCAATTATATTTTATTATAAGTTGGGTTGAGTTGGATCATTACATTTGAAGTAAAATTTAAGAAATAGTAATTAAACTTTTTAAAGGCTTCTAATTTTTTAATCCTGATTTTGATATTTTTTGAAATAGATGCTTCAAGTGGATAATCTATTGTTCCAGAATTAATTGTAGTCACTGTGAAATAAAATATTTTATATACACTATGCCTGAAAAGTGTTTCTATCAACTTTTGTTATAGAAAAATACGAAAACATTGCTATTTTCTTCTGACCTATATTTTTCTCCATAATATGAAAAGAAATTGTTAAACACCTTTGCAATGGATGATTTCTCATGCCTGATTGACCATTAAGTCTACTTCAATTATTTTTAACCAGTTCAATTATAGTTAGATACTTAATTTATGAAAAATTCCAGTCATTAAGGGTTTATACAATTCATTAGCAAGTTAATATAGATATAAAATTACTTATTTTTTATATTTTATACATATCAAACAAATACCGGACATAGCTCATTGGTTTAAATTGTTTGAACATTCAACTCTCAGTATAAGTAATTTGACCTGGACAGAATTGGCATATTGTAGAACCCAAGATGACCTTAACACCTTCAGGAGATTCCAGGGCATAAACTACACTGGAGTTCCAGGCACAAAGGAAAAAACAGACACAGACTTAATGGAGGGACAGACTCAGAAGCAGTAAAGGTCATCTAAAATATCTACACAAAAGATGAGCAGAAAGTTGAAATCCTGAAGAAGTAAAGTCTCTGCAAATCAAATCAATATCAGCAAGGTAAAAATATACATTTTGGTGAATTAACAGAGGATGGAGCCAGGGGAGCTCTCTCAGGAGGAAATCCCAGGCTCCTGAGGCTCTAACTTAGTTACGGAGAAAACTGGCTTAAACACCGCATCCACCAACATGATCACTCCTAACCAAAGGATTTTTGCTATTGTTGTTATTTTAGTTCTTGTGGAAAAAGTATTCACCTTTCTCCATTACAGTTATTGTATTTTCTTTATTTTGCTTTTTTAGGAGTGCCGTGATCAAAATAATCTTGAACTCAGGAGTCAGAAAAGCTGAGTTTACTCCAACATTGCCAGTTACTAGTTCTAAACAAATTATTTCAACTATCTATGGTTTAATGTATTCATCTATAAAATGAAGCTAATACATAACCAATGTGCAGGACCATGCAAACGTTAACACAATCTAACATAGCACAGCAGTTATTTATATTATGTTTAAAAAAACTAACAAAACTGCATGTATTTACTTAAATTTTCTATATTGTGAAAGGAAACAGAAATGTCTATTGTTGAGGATATTTCAGATAGCAAATATATGTATGTCACAGAAAGTCTATTATTATGTTGTTTTCCAGAAACTGAATAAAGAAAATGTATGAGTTGACATAACATAGCTTTTGAGTTTAGGGTACAGGGTTATGGATTATTCTCTTCACATAAATGCTCTCCAAGCCTTCAAAGTGAATAGTTAGGCAACTTAGGTTAATCCCATGTAGGCAAATCATGAAAGTATCTGAAGCACTGTGTCTTGGTATTAGTTTTCTATTGCTGGATGGCAAGTTACCACAAACTTAAAGGCTTAAAACAACACAAACTTAATACCTTAGCATTTCAGTGGGTCAAGATTCCAGGTTCAAGTTAGGTGACTCCTCTACTCAGAGTTTCTAACCAGACTGAATCAAGGGGGGTCAGCTGGGGCTGTAGTCTCATCTGGAGCTCAGGCATCTCCTCCAAGCTCACTGGTTATTGGCAGAATTTGGTATGACATATTGCAGGAGAATCCCTCTCTAGTCTTCTAAGAAGGAGTCTTATAGAACATAACACAATCATAGGAGTAACCACCTTATTATACTCACAGATCCCCACTAAGATATTCAAGGGAAGGTACATATACAGGCTCTGTATACCAGGGGGTGGGAATCTTGGGAGCCACTTAAGAATTCTGCCTACCACTCTGCTCACCTCCTATCACTGATGGGAACCTATACGATGAGTATACCCCTAAGGTTGTTCGCCTTTCTCAAAGTTGTAACAAACCAGATAGGCCTAATAATCCAGGTACATCAACAGCCTTTATTCCACTGGGGGGAAAAATACATTCCAAACATCAGTAATGAAGACCAGTTATGAAGGATTATCCCTGCTGTAGGGAAGTGATTCTGTTTCTGTATTCATTTGACCAAGTTTTTGTGTAAATTAAAAAAGGACAGCCAGGAAACTTCAGCTGGGAGATGAGTTCTGTCTCCATGTTGGCCTGCACTTCCTGCCCCAGCTGGGAGCGGTCCTGACACCTGTATGTGAAGGCCATGCCTGCTACCGAGAAGCCTGCAGTGAGAGTCCGAGCAGCAGCTCCGCTTCTTTAGAGTTACATGATCCAGGCCAGGAAGCCCCATCTTTCCTCTAAAGCACAGATTTCTCATCTATGAGAAAGAAATAGTTATAACTTTCCTACCACATGGATTATTTGAGGGTGGAATAAAATCATGCATGAGAAAGGGCTCTGCTAACTATAAGGTACTATAAACCTATAATACAGTATATCAGTCAGAGTGGCAGGCTGAGCCATATGAAGTGGCCCTTCTGTGGATCAAAATAGTTGAGTATCAGCAATTTCATATGGTTCCAAGTAACAGCAGCATTTTTTTTTAACATCACTCATTCCCAGGGAATATTGTTAAGCACCCCTTTTCAAAACTTGTCCCCTAGGCCTCTTGTATCACCAGAAGGCATCTATAAAGATTTAGGATCTTAATATTTATAGCTCAGAAGAAAATCTTTCCCAGGCAAGGAGGGGGAAATCTTGTGCCCTCTGGAGTTTTTTTAATGACCATACAATCTTAAGTATTATAAAAAAGATATTCCCAAAAGAAAGAGAGAATATCTTAATGAATAATTAAAATAATTCTGTAAACCTTGTTTTTATACTCTTCTAAACATTGAATTCTTATGCCCATAAACTACATTAGCTTGTTAGTATCCTAAGGCTTTCTTTTGCTTAGGGTGTGGCTTGTGGAAACCAAACATCTGTTTCGATGTATCACTGGTTGAACTTAAAACCTATGTCTATTGCTGGTAGGTAAAGGCAGGACAGCCACTGGAAATACAGGCCCTGAGCAAAACTGAGAGACTCTAACTTTACAGATAACTTACTGGTAAAAAGGAAGATAATTTTGTAATTGTTCACTCTCGTATTCGGAAATGAGCACAGAGTGCCATCATATCCATGCCATGCTTTTGACTTCCCACATTTTTTAGGGTAAAATATTAATTATGCAACTTTGAGCATATTTTTGACCCATTTTCCTATTATTGTACATGGTACCATGGGGATTTGATCACTTTGTCATTTTATATTCTTTTGTAGATGTTTGTGCTTGCTAAAAATCTATCTATCCCAGGCCAGGCACCATGACAGGAAGACTGATAAAAACTCTAAAATTCTCAGCAATAGAAGAATTTTGAAAATTAAAAAAATATATATACACAGACTAAAATTTTCTAGTAAAATCTAAAAGGAATTTATTGTGAATGTTTACAAATATATTCTCCTAATATTTTCAAAAGACTCCTTCACACATTTACAAAATGAAGGGAAATAAGTAGAATCTTTGGAGTATTCCCTGGTAAAGGAAAAGGTTTGAAGTCACATCTTTCTAAATACCATTTGTGAAATGTTAAACAAGAGTCGTTTGTTCAACAGAATCTTCTTTAAAAAAGAGCATGAAAAGGGTGGAAAGATTAGTATACAATATTCCCTGGGTATGGGTGTGGGTAGCCTTCATAATAGCATGTAGACCAGAAAATACTCCTCCTGGATCCAAACCACATGGGCAGCATACATCACCCCTGGCTGGCCGGCAACAGGATGTATATAGGACTATTGGTAGACATGGAAAGGTTAGAAGAGGCTACAGGGCAGATAAAACATCTGGAGAATGCTGGAGTGGGACTCACCCTGGTCATGTCTCCTGCCCAGAGTGTTCACCGGATAGTAGAACTGGTGTGCACAGGACAGTAGGGTACCAGGGACATCAAATGCACACCTGCTTACATTGTATTGGGAATAACTTAGTCACATGGTCACGTTTTTCTTCATTGCAGAGATTTACAGTTGACCCTTGAACAACATGGGTTTGAACAGCGTGGGTCCACTTATATGTGGATCTTAGTCAATAAATATACTGGAGAAATTTTTGGAGATTTGTGACAATTTGAAAAAACTCACAGGTGAACTGTGTAGCTTGGAACTATGTAAAAAATTAAGAAATTAGGTGTGTCATGAATGCGTAGAATACATGTACATGCTAGTTTATTTAAACATTTACTACTATAAAATATACACAAATCTATAACAAACATTTAAAAATGTTCAAAACTTATGCACACAAACATTTACAGACAATATGTGGTGCCATTTGCTGTTGAAAGAAATGCAAACAAACACAAAGATGCAATATGAAGTCATAAGTGCATAAAATTAACTGTAGTATATACTATACTACTGTCGTAATTTTGTAGCCACCTCCTGTTGTTATTGCGGTGAGCTCAAGTGTTGCCAGTATTCACTTAAAACACATGTGATGTTCATCATCCCTGAGTGAATAGTCCCTCTGTCCAGTAAATAGCGTATTGCAATAAATAGTGATCTTTGTGGTTCTTGTATATTCTTCATCATGTTTAATGAAACACTGCAAATCTTTAATAACACCATGGGACCTATATGAAGGGCCACTAGTGATGCTGAAATTGCTCCCCAAAAGCAGCAAAAAGTCATGATATTACAAGAATTATTTGAATTGCTCAATATGTATCCTAGATTGAGGTCTACCAGCTGCTGGTTGCCCACCATTTCATTTCATTTCATGGTTCCAGCATAAAAACCATTGTGAAAAATGAAAAAGAAATTTATGAAGCTGTAGCTGCAGCTATGCCAGCAGGCACAAAAAACTTGCACTTTTTTGTGAAATACCTTTTTATCTCATATAGAAAATGCAGCTTTTATGTGGGTGTAGGATTGCTATAAGAAAGGCATACCTATAAACTCTAATATGATTTGACAAAAAGCAAAGTAACAACTTAAAGTAAAAGGAAGGGGAGATATATAAAGCTGGGGAAGTTAATGCCAGCAAAGGATGGTTTGATAATTTTTGAAAGAAATTTGTCTTTAAAAATGTTAGAGTTAGAGGAGAAGCAGCTTCTGCTGACCAGGAGGCAGCAAACAAGTCCCAGATGCCATTAAGAAAATCATTGAGGGCCACGCCTGGTGGCTCACGCCTATAATCCCAGCACTTTGGGAGGCCGAGGAGGGTGAATCAGAAGGTCAGAAGTTTGAGATCAGCCTGGCCAACATGGTGAAACCCCATCTCTACTAAAGATACAAAAAGTAGCTGGGTGTGGTGGTTCATGCCCGTAATCCCAGCTATTCGGGAGGCTGAGGCAGGATAATCGCTTGAACCTGGGAAGTGGAGGTTGCAGCGAGCCAAGTTTTGGCCACTGCACTCCAGCCTGGGTGACAGAGCAAGCCTCCATTTCAGAAAAAAAAAAAAAAAAGAAAAACTCATTGAGAAGAAATGATATCTGCCTGAACAGGTTTTTAATGCAATTGGAAGTGCCCTTTTGTAGAAGAAAAAATACCACAAAGGACATTTATTACTAAAGAAGAGAAGTGAGCACCAGGATTAAGGCAGGATGGAACAGAATAACTCTACTGTTTTGTGCAAATGCAGTCAGATTTACGATCAGGACTCCCCTTATCTACAAAGCTGCTAAGCTCCGAGTCTTGAAGGGAAAAGATAAACACCAGCTGTCAGTCTTTTGATTGCATAATAAGAAGGCCTGGACAATGGGAACACTTTTTCTGTATTGGTTTTATCCATGCTTTGTCCCTGAAGACAGGCAGTACCTTGCCAGTAAGTAACTTCCTTTCAAAGTTCTTTTGATACTGGGCAATGTATCTGGCCACCAAGAACCCCATGAGTTCAACCACAAAAGCATCAAAGTAGTCTATGTGCCTCCGCTGCAAAAGTCTCTAATTTGCCCTCTGGATCAGGAGGTCATTAGGACTTTTAAGGCTTATTTCACAGGGTATTATATGGAAAAGATTGTTAAGGCTATGGAAGAGAACCCTCAATGGAGAGAATATCATGAATGTTTGGGAGGATTACACCATTAAAGATGCCATCATTGTTACTGAAAAAGCTGTGAAAGCCACTGAGCCAGAAACAATAAATTCCTGCTGGAGAAAACTGTGTCCAGATGTTGCGCATGACTTCACAGGATTTACAACAGAGCCAATCAAGGAAATCATGAAAGAGATTGTGGATAAGGCAAAAAAGATGGAGGGTGCAGGATTTCAAGATATGGATCTTGAAGAAATTTAAGAGCTTACAGACATCACACCAGAGGAATTAACAGAAGATGACTTGATGGAGATGAGCGCTTCCGAATCAGTGCCAGACGACGAGGAAGAAGACACAGGAGAAGCAGTGCCAGGAAACACATTTACGTTCGACAATTTGGTAGAAGGGTTCTGATGGTTCAGGACTGCTTTTGACTGTTTCCACAACATAGACCCTTCTATGACACGGGTGCTGAAACTAAAACAAGTGATGGAAGAAGGATTGGTACCATATAGAAACATTTTTTAGAGAAATGAAAAAGTAAAAAAGTTTGCCAGAAATTACTATGTGTTTCTGTTAATTACAAAACGTGTGCCTCCCTCTCTCATTTTCCCTGCTTTCCCTTCCACCTCCTCCACCTCTTCGGCCTCTGCCACCCCTGAGACAGCAAGAACAACCCCTCCTCTCCTTCCTCCTCCTCAGCCTGCTCAATGTGAAGACAATGAGGATGATGATCTACTTCCACTTAATGAATAGTGAGTGTAGTTTTCTTCTTTACGATTTTGTTAATGATATTTTCTTTTCTCTAGCTCTTACTTTAAGAATACAGTATATAATACATATAATATAAAAACATGTTAATCAACTGTTTATGTTTTGGTAAAGCTTCCTGGCGACAGTAGGCTATTACTAGTTAAGTTTTGGGAGAGTCAAAATTTACATGTAAATTTTTTGACTGCATAGGGAGTTAAAATTGACCCTATAAACTCAACTGTATTGTAGTTTGTTAATTTCAAATATTCATTTACTTTATATCAGATTTTAGGCAGAGAAAGGATACATGTCCCAGGATTGCAGGTGAGGCTCTTAACTGAACTGGAATTTAGATGGTGCAATCTACCCACTGCTTTACCAGGAAGACTTTGTTCCTGGCAGGTCTTGTTGCTGGGACACAGTGCTGCATTGGGAGGCAAAAGAGGGAGGGCTCCCTAGATCAGTCTGAAAGTTAACAAACAGAATAGACAGCTTGGAAGAGAGCAGGGCTCCTATAGGTGGCTAGCTGGACAGAGCCTATTAGTTCTTCCTCCAACTGGGATTCTGAGGCAGAATGACAAGGAGCTGCTGAAAACATCTTCATTCTTCAGACAGAGTCACACTCTTCTCAAACTCGTCAGATGGGAGCCCTCAGAAGTTGGCTAACTCAGATATCAGAATTGTCCTCAGAATGCTCACCTTGACCTCATCTTGTGACTCACCGATATCCAGGGCTGGCTATGCAAAACTGTGCCTAGCGAGAAGCCAACGGAAAGTGAGGAGGACAAACAATACCTCCTTGAACAGCCAGGTAACCAAGAAGAGGAGAAGACATTGAGACAGCTGAGAAGCCAGAGTCTCTCTCATGAGAACAATGCCCCAAATTGGACACAGGATGTGTCTAATGAGAGCTCCACTGCCACCAGCACTGAGCACTAGAAGCTGCGGTGACACCACTTTCTACCCAGGCACTGGACGCTGAATGCCACAACTAGCATACCACTGTTGTGAGGAAAAATAGAAAAATATATATCTAGAATTTCCAAAATTTCTAGTTGGTGGTGATTTCTGCTACTCACATAGGCACAGTAACATGAGAATTGTGACAGAATCATGCATCACTTAATGACGGAGATACATTTCCAGAAATGTGTCATTAGGCAATTTTGTCATTATGTGACCATCAGAGATGATACTTATACATACCTAGATGGTAGGGCCTACTATATGCCTAAGCTCTATGGTGGAGCCTATTGCTCCTAGGCTACAAACCTGTACAGCATGGTACTGTACTGAATACTGCAGGCAATGAGAACACAATTGTAACCATTTGTATATCTAAGCCTATCTAAACATAGAAGAGATAATGTACAGTTTTAGAATATTATGGGATCACTGTCATACATATGGTCTTCAACCAGAATGTTATGTGGCACATGACTGTATTGGACAACCAAAACTGTCTAATGTCCTCTGGAGAAAGCATTAGTAGGCTTCACTATAAAGTATACAATATCTTTAGCATCCAAGCTCATAAACTAGAAATTCCTATTTTTAAAGTAGCTTGAAAATTGTAAAGTAGGATTCCAGAGCAACCCCATTGTCGCTCTACCATTTTGGGGGGTATTAACTGCACTCAAATGAGGTTCCTCTCTGAGACATACCATGGCATGCTTTCCTTAGTTGAGAACAACTTTTATTTTATAACTCAATTTGGTGTTATGTTTCTGATAATTTATTTTTTCCTTTGACTGAGTCATACTGTTTTAGATGCATGAATATTTTCTCACTTGTACTTCGATGTCCCGAGTTCGGCTTTTCTTAAAAGACAAGAAGACATTATAGGAAGGCTTTCTGAGAACAATGTTTGCACTTAATTTTGCCTGATTGTTTTACTTTATTTTTCTTTTTATTTGCTAGACAGGAAGGCTCAGACTAAAGGTTGGAATTCAGATGCAGTATCTCTGTCCCCCACTCTCCTATATGCTACTTTGTGAGGTGGCAGAGGTGGAGTGGTGGGGGGAGATAGAGGACGCGGGAGAGAAACGGCAAGGCTAGAAGAGGGAGAAGGGCCTTACTCGTTCCTATTTCCTTCTCACTGACTCCCTGGTGCTCTGTTCTACTGCTCGTTGTCTCTGTGACACTCACCCTAGGAAGATTCTTCACCCCAGCGTCAGCAGTTTTTTTCCTGCAGAAGCAGTTGAGTCTGGTTTGCAAATTTGCCAGTACTTGCAAAACCAGCCCCTTCCTCAGAGGTTTGGGTTCCAGCCTACAAATTTGAGTAATTCCTACCTCTTCCCATTTCCCCTTCATCTGTAAGTATGAAAGCTGCTTTCAGAAGTTGTACCTCTGCAATATTCCTTTGTTGCAGTGTTCCCTTTTGCAATGATAGTATATGAAGTTATTCTCTTGCAATATTTAACAAATAGTGATATATACATATACACACATATATATGTATACACATTTTTATTGCTTAAAAATTTATAGGCAGTTTACTCATGTTGTTTTTTCTTCTATTTTTTTTCTTAATTGTGTTCTTATCTTTTTAGTTACCTAAGTAACAACTTTCTACATTGCTATCATTTCTTCCCATTAAACATTCTCTGTTTAACAAACTGCTGTGGCTTCTGCTTTCTGATTGGGCGCTGCCAGTACAGACTTCAAATCTGCATTCCATTTCCTCCCTCTGATTTATATTTTTCTCAGTCCTGTTGTTGACTTATGGGTTTTGTGTATGTGTGTGTCTGCATCTTTTGCAAGTGAATGCAAGTATTTTCTGAATTACAGTGGCCTCAAAGATTAAGTATATGCTAATGTTTAATAAAAATGGCTGGGCGCGGTGGCTCACGCCTGTAATCTCAGCACTTTGGGAGGTCGAGGCGGGCGAATCACGAGGTCAGGAGTTTGAGACCAGCCTGACCAACATGGTGAAACCCCGTCTCTATTAAAAATACAAAAGTTAGCCTGGCATGGTGGCATGTGCCTGTAATCCCAGCTACTCAGGAGGCTGAGGCAGGAGAATTGCTTGAACCCGGGAGGTGGAGGTTGCAGTGAGCCAAGATCACGCCACTGCACTCCAGCCTGGGTGACAGAGTCAGACTCCATCTCAAAATAATAATAATAATAATAATTTTTTGAAAATTTCATCAGGTCTCAAGTATAGAAAGAATAAATCAATGAAAGGTTTTGTTTGATATGATAATGGTTACTTAATATTCAGCCAGTTTTTTCCCAATGTACTGGACTTTAGCACTGGCACTTAATATAGATTTTCTAACTTACTTCTCTCCAAAAAATCAGTGAAGTAGGTATTATGACTGTTGTATCTGTTTTACAGTAAGTAAAGGGTTCTTAGTAAGATTAAATAACATACTCAAGGTTGCAAGGACAGTAAGAGCAGAACTGGGATTTGAACATAGGGTAACAATTTTGCCTAAACAATTTTGCTCTAAACAATTTTGCCTCACCTGGATTCAGATATTTATTGGGGGTAATGAGTGTCCCCTTGAGTCCAGTGTGATACCCATAATTAAAATAAGCAAAGCTCAAGAGATAGTGAAACGCAGAGGGTCACAATTAGATAATTTGCTACGGTTGTACTTCTTTGCCACACTGTTTCCTTTTACAATGATATTAGATGAAATTATTCTCTTGCAATATTTAACAAAGTGATATGTATATATACATTTTGTTTCTTAAAAATCTACAGGCAGATTACTTATACTGTTTTTTCTTCTCATGTTTTTTTCCTGTGTGTTCTTGTATCTCAGAGACTAACCATACAAAATGTCCTTGAGCCCGCATAGACTCAGCTCACTCATCAGAATCCAACACAGTGTGATTCAGCCAGATTCCTCTGTACAATAGACATCCTGAACAGTCCCTGGGCTCCAACCCATCATCAAAGTCCCCTCTGTCAAAAACTTCACCTGTTGACTTTCAAAGACTAGGACAGGATCAACTGTGTTCTACAGACTTGGAAATATGATCGCAACGCATTGCCTTCCCTGCAAAATTTTTACAGTTGCTGCAGAGACAACAAAGGTGTGCCACAAATGTTGATGTAGGTGCAGGAAATGAAAAGCACACAACTAAAAGAAAAATGCAAAAGGCTTTCTTGAAAAGAAAATCTGTATGTGCTTTATAAGTTTCATCTGAAAGCCAATGTTAACCTGCTGCTTTATTTAACCCTCTGCTGAGCACTGCATATGGGACATTGCAAACCGATGTCATTTGAGATGTGTTAGGACCATCACCTAGTGATTACCTTCCTTAGAAGATAATATTTTATGTTAAATAAACAATGGTCTCCAGAGAATACTTGTTTTTAGAAAGAATTGGGAGAGAGCAGTGCAGTAATCAAAAGGTGAAAGAGTCCAGAAAATGAATACAGTGTGTCAAAGTATTAATTAAAGTATTTTCTCTCTTTCTGGATGAGATGAGTGGGGAAGAGAAGGGTTGTCATTGGCCTTTAGTTTTTTGTTGCTGAGTAAGTGAAAAGAAATGGAAAATGAGATTCTTCCAGTTTCAAACTGTTACAATATGGTGACTTACATGCCCTACAGAGAATTCCTGAAGGCACGAACCCAGTCACAAATTGGCGCACATCAGCATTTTGCATAAAAGGAAAGCATCCATATCTGACTCAAGCAACAATGAAATCAATACAGAAACATTTCCAGAGAAGTCCTGCAGGTTTTTTATGCATTTATAGCTAGTATATTGTGCAAAAAATCTTCTGACTGTTTAATAAATCAACTTTAGATCCACAATTCCTAAACTTCCATGATTTTCTTTATCATCAGCTAGAGAGCACCCTGAAGATAGGAAGTCACATTTGTTTCCCCTACTGTTTCTATCCTTATTAGATGGCTTATCTCTCTGCTGGTTTTTTGATAGGTTTGGATACAGGAGTTAAATTCATATCTTATAGTCTCTCTACCACAGCCTCCTCCAAAGCTTGCAGAATATCGTGAAAAGAGTATCTGGCAACTCCAGGGCCAAAACGCTGCCCTCAGCTCTCTGCCTCGGCCCAGACCTGTCTGTCAATAGAATTATGCCCATCCCTGGAATTGTATTTGATTTTATTTACCATTGAATATCTGAGCTACCTGCTTGAGTTAAGTAATTATTTTAGGTAATCCAAAAAACATACCTAAAATGATTTTGCAAGTATATTTAAAATAATGTTTATGTACCTTCAATAAATTTTGAATATTATTTCAACTTTTGGTGGTGCAGAAATCTACTGCTTCAAATATAGTTTTTAAATGATAGACGTGATGCTTTTAAGAAAAGTGAAACTTTTATATAAATATTACTGGCCCATCATAATGAAGATGTTAGCATTAGAAAAGAAGAAGGAATTAATAGTTTCCTCTTAATAACTATCTAGTCATAGTCTATAAGCAGAACAAAGAAACCAATCAATCATCATTTTTCCATTGGTTCAGAACCCCGACTTTATGTTAGGCCTCCTTGCTCTATGGCATCAAACCTCTATGGTAATGCCAATCATTTTATGTTTGTATAAAACATCTGTGTCATTCTGCTCTGTGCCCCGGTTTCCTCATCTGTACATTGGGAATAATATTGGTTGTATTCAGGTTATATATGAATTAATATTCAAAAATAAGTTTAGATCAATATCTGGCATATAGAAGTTACTCAGCATATTTAACTGTTACTATTACTAGTGCCTCATTAGGTTGTAAAATCCTTGAAGATATAAACTCTCTTTTGGTTATATTTGGATTTCCTAAATTATCAAAACCTTAACAGCCCCTTAACTAGTATTTATTAAATTAATTGATACTCTGAAGCTTTAGAAATGCATTCAAAATCATACAATGGGCAAATAGGCCAGTTTTATATTTAGTTTAGATAATCATTAAATCTATATAAATACATAATCTTAAAAAAATAATGGGCTGGGCACCGTGGCTCACGCCTGTAATCTCAGCACTTTGGGAGGCCAAGACGGGTGGATCACGAGGTCAGGAGATCGAGACCAGCCTGGCTAACATGGTGAAACCCCATCTCTACTAAAAATATAAAAAAATTAGCTGGGCGTGGTGGTGGTCACTTGTAGTACCAGCTACTCAGGAGGCTGAAGCAGGAGAATGGCGTGAAACTGGGAGGCAGAGCTTGCAGTGAGCCGAGATTGGGCCACTGTACTCCAGCCTGGGTGACAGAGCGAGACTCTGTCTCAAAAAATAATGATAATAATAATAATAATAATGGATGTGATGTAACCAAATGGGGCCATAAGAAATC
This sequence comes from Homo sapiens, assembly GCF_000001405.40. Taxonomy (NCBI): domain Eukaryota; kingdom Metazoa; phylum Chordata; class Mammalia; order Primates; family Hominidae; genus Homo; species Homo sapiens. Next base: position 9,240,809 of record NC_000006.12, read on the forward strand.
TCTGCCAGTCACTGCAAGCTGCCATCCAATTTTCAAGGCTCAGTTTCATTGTCATCTCTTCCATTAAAATTTCCTTGATCAGCCCTCACCCATTTTTCCACAAGAAAACTATAGGACTTGGTATGTTCATTTTCCATAGAATGTATGCCATTCTTCTAGACCTTCTAGATATTTGTGTGTCAGCATATTTGTTCTTAAAAGCAAGAACCATGAAGAACTTATATTGATTTTCACCAAGTCTCATGGTCTAATGCATTTGCTCATGGTAGGATCACAATAAATGTTTGCTGAATAAATGAATGACTCAGCAAAAGCATGCTCAGCACCAGGGTGGGCACTTTGACAATATGAAGGAAGAGAAGATATTCTCTCCCTCTGCTACCGCCTCTATTGCAACGTTGTATAGTTTAAGCATGTCTGTGTACATGGAACCAGGGTGAGAACCAGTGGTTGAGAGACCGTGTTTTCCAGGAATTGTAGAAGGCACCCATCATCAAGTCCTGATGAGGCAAAGCCTCAGAGTGCAGGGGCTTAGTCCTGAATCCTAGGAGAGATTTGAGTGAAAACAGAAACAGTCTTTGAGGAGTGCTCAATTATTAAAGTCTGAATAAATATGGCCTCCTGAAGATCTGAAGGGTTTGTGTGGCTACAGGGAGAGTTAAGGGCAGAGTTGGGGGTTACGGGCAGGGGAATTGAGTAGAGATGCATGGTTCTGCTGTTACTGATCCTCTAACTGAAGGGCAACCCTGCTCAAGGCAGTGGAAGGAGCATTTGTGTTTGGCAACCTCACTTTCCCATATCCTGGTGCCTTACGGAAGGAAGAAGAAAACTTCAAGCTGGTCAGTGCCCCCTTTGGGCCAGCTTTCTACCTCATGAAAGCAGCACTCTGGTACTTTTAGTGAAGATAGAATTCATTCTCTTTCCAACTAGTCTTGGTAGGCTTTTGGTTTCAGGGAGTGTTTCCTAGAGCCTCACGATGGAGAGAAAGGATCAAATCGTGATTTGAACACTTTGAAAGGCTCTAGGCAGCTATGATTCCTCCAGCAAGAAGCACTGTGGTTTGAGTGTTCTCATCTATGACTGAGGACAATGGTGCCCACCTCACAGGGCAGTGAAGATCTGAGAAAAATGCATATGACCTGTCACAACAGGCATTCAATGCTAGGCAGCCGCTATTGTTATTATTATTACTATTATTTTTATGTCTTGCTTATATTTCTACGGTTCCTATATACAATTCAGAAGGATAAACAATAGGCCTGGAATCTTTGTTTTTCAATTTAAAAGTATTTATTGACTGATGACTATGTGCCAGGCATCTGTTAGGCACTGAGGATATTTCAGTGAACAAGATGGTTTGATCGTTCCTGTCATGGGCATTTTATCAATTGATGGTGGATAATTAAGCTAGCAAGCAATTGGTATTGGATAATGAAGTGTGACAATTCAGAAAAGCAAAAGTTCAGCATGAACAAAAGCATGAGGCAGGGAAGATTGGAGTGGAGGCAGCAATAACTGGCTGAAAATTAGACAGCCAGTAGAGTGGAATTTCTAGGAGCACCTTCCAGAGCTGGGTGAGTGACGAGGAAGTTTACATCTCTGTGCCCCATCTGTAAAATGGCATGAGAATAATACCTACCACATAGGATTGCTATGGCGATTAAATGGTACTAGAGCCCTCCTTTGAGGGCTCTTATAAGGATTGAATGAATAAATGTAAAGCACTTAGAACAGTGCTTAGAACATGGGAAACACTAGTTAGGAATTTGCTCTGATGATGATGGTCATGTGCCGGAGGAGTAGATTGTGGAAATTTGGACGCCCACATGTGGCTGCACAGTGAAGGCCCTTGCATACAGCATTAAAGTTAGTAAGAGTTTTGTAGGGAAATTGAGTGTTTCAAGACAAATTCACCTTTACCAGGGCAAGTTGTGGAAGTGGAGAAGTGGAAGGAGGGCATTCTGGGCAGACTGGTAGATCCTGGAAACTACTCGAAGTTCAGCACAGTTAGTCAATGCAATCTAATAGAAATCTTGATGCAAGCCACATACATAATTTGAAATTTTCTAGTAGCCCCATTAAAAAAAGGCAAAAAAAAAAAAAGAAAACAAAAAAGGTAATTTAAATAATATATTTTGCTTAACCCAATATATCCAAAATATCATTGCAACATGTGATCAAAATAAAAAAAGAGATATTTTACATTCTTTTTTCATGCTAAGTCTTTGGAATCTGGCACATGTTTTACACTTAAAGCACACTCTGTTGGACTAGCCACATTTCAAGTGCTCGAAGTACTTGTGGCTAATGGCTACCATATTTTACAGTGCAAGGCTAGCCACAGTCATTTATAGCCGTTATTCCATCCTGGGGAGTTTGCACTTTATCATAGGCAGGTGGCAATGGGGGAAGAATGAAGATGATGGCAACACAGAAGAGAATCAGAATAATTAAATTTGCTTTTTGGAAAGTTCACCTGCTGCTGCAGCTGTATGGAGGATGAACTGGGATGAGTGAAGAAAGCTTGGAAATTGGCAGACCATGGGGTGACCATGGCAGTTGCCCAGGAGAGAACTTGGAAGCTAGGATAAGGTTGCAGCAATGAGGATGAAGAGGAGAATGGAGCTGAAGGATGGTAAGGAAGCCAAATTCACAGGGTTGGGTGACCAAGTGCACCTGGGGCTGGCGAAGGAGAAGGGAGTAAGAACAAAAGGCATGTTCTGAAGTTTGCACTGAGTACCTGGAGGAGTGCTTGAGGCTCTACCAAACATTGATAGGGCAGTGACAATGAGCTTTGGTTAGGCTTATTAACTAAGTTGTATGTGGTTTTGCCAAGTTGAGGTGCCCAGCAGGTTTTTAACTGTATGTTCTAACCATAAAAAGAGATAGTATTTTATGGGATAGCAATTGCTGCTGTAGATAAGCACTTGTAAAACATTGTTTGCCACAAAGTAAGTTCATCTCTTTAATCAATGTTTTAAACTCAGACTGAGACATTTTTCCCCTCTAAGACATACTTCTATCACACAGGTAAGGTAAGCCCATGGGCACGTAGAGTCCTTATTTGTCATTGTCTAGTTCTCGTGCAGCACAATGGCATAAACTTTGTGGTCGGAATGCCTAGATTGTAATTCCAACTCTGCCACTTACTATGGAACCGTGGACATTACTCAACTATGTGCCTCTGTTTCCTCAACTGTGAAATGGAGTTAATGATACTATTTAGATTATTGATCGGTAGCAAGCTCAGAATTATTCCTAGAATATAGTAAACCCAGTGTAAATGTTTGCCAAATAAATGTGCTTTAGGCAGCTTTACAGGACATGTCCTCTTTGTAAGTAGGATATCATGTATCTTCATCATGTAAAGCATTCAGATCTCTGCATATCAAGAGATAAGAAAATTGCTACTCTGTTTCAAATTAATCTCAAATATTTTCATTAAAGTGACTGGTCAGAGAATGTCTTTTTTAAAAAGTCAACTTTTATTATGTTTAATTTTTTATTTTTAATTATTATGGAGTGAAGACTGTTTCAATAGCAAAGACCCTCTGTAACTGCTAATTCTTTAACATCTATTTTTAACATTTTAGTAGGTAACAATGATAAACAATGACAAAAATAATAGGTAAAAGTGTAATTTCCATTTTTATAATTTCCTAAATATATTTTTCTTCTCTCAAATTTAGAATATTCATTTTTCTTCTTAGTTCTTGGGAGAATAAAAGCATTAATAAGAGAGCACCCAACTGAATTTGGTTTTTGTTCAGTTTTACTGAATACCCATTAAGTTCGATAGGAAATACACCAAGATAATTAAATGAGGAGTTAAAAAAAATCTAGAAACTATTTCAGGATACTGCTTGCTTAATTCTAGATTATAATTATGTTTAGTATGTGCCAGGCTCCATATTAAATAGTTTTTGCAAAGGCTGAAATATCACACAGGGCAGGTTGTAATGTGGTTGAATCTGCTTAGGACATGCGAATGGGAACACACAGACATAGACACACCAGATGAAGGAGGTGAATCTCTCAAGATGAACACGCATTCCCCATGGGGTTTGGCCAGGGAGAAGGTGTATGTTCCAGGTACACAGATCCTGAACTACACAGAAAGATGGAGATATCATGGGCTCTCCTCTCAATTATCTGTCAGCTTGGTGGGGTGCTAGGGGCAGGCTCATAAGTTACTAATTACAGGACAATGTAGTCAGTGCCTGATAGATGGAAAAGTCCTATTTTTTTTTCTTTTCTTTTCTTTTTTAGACGGAGTCTCACTCTGTCGCCCAGGCTGGAGTGCAATGGCATGATCTTGGCTCACTGCAACCTCTGCCTCCCGAGTTCAAGTGATTCTCCTGCCTCGGCCTCCCAAATAGCTGGGATTACAGGCATGTGCCATCATGCCTGACTAATTTTTGTATTTTTAGTAGAGATGAGGTTTCACCATGTTGGCCAGACAGGTCTCAAACTCCTGACCTCAAGTGATCCACCTGCCTTAGCCTCCCAAAGTGTGGGGATTACAGGTGTGAGCCACTGCACCCAGCCTGAAAAGACCTATTTTTTAGAAGGAAAGAGGCGAGGGAAACTTTTATGTCCTTGGGAAAACAAGGGAAGGCTTGACATAGGAGATATTCCGTAACATTCAAGAACTTTCAGTTTTCTCATGCCAAAGCAAAAACAACTCTAACTGAAGAAGCCGGTGCATTTAATCTGTCACATTCATTGTCTCTCTGATGTGGTGTTGGGGATAAATCCTCGGGGAGGCCATTCCCTTTGTTTTCCCCCATGAATTCTCTGATGTTGGGGAACACATGTGCTTTAGGTGAAGGTGCTTCCCATGTTGATTCTATTTAAGGAATTCAATATGGTTTTGAGTGACATCTAGATAGTTCTCTTTTCTGTCCTTTTCAGAATCAGAGAAGGGTAGAAACAAAGCAAGGAGCAAGCTGTTTCAGGATAGTAATGGGATAGGGACCGAAGTGCCACAGCAAAGATGATGTGGCCCAGGGAGAATTACATTTCTATGAATTGATGAGAATGAAAGGGCGGAAGAAGAGAGGTAAAAGAGCGTTCAATTTGACTTTGGTTTGCCTTGGATACCTTAGTCCTCTTGGTCTCAGGCACTTTTTTGAATCAGATGCATCCAATGCGTCTCTTCCCATGATCCCCCCTGCACCTTTTCTTAGTGAAGACAACACCTCCAATGATCTAATCTGGCAAAAAGTGTCTCCCTGTTGGGCATTTTTGTCCCTGGGTAATTTTGATCTGAGCATAAAAATACCAGCAGGCCTGCTGTTTCCATAGACAAACCAGATGACCAACACAAAGTAAGGGGCTCAGGAGCAGGCATAACGTGGAAGAGAATAGAAAGCTTCATTTGGTTATCATAACCACTCTTTCTTTCTACTCTCAAAGCCACTGGCACGTAATCTGTCAACATATGCAGAAGTTATTTATTTCTCAAATGGACTTATATCCAGATTTGAAAAGAGTTGAGTTTTAGTATAAATAGATCAACAATTCTTGAATGTAGTTCTATTAGAGAACTCCACCAGAAGATATTATTATTTATTCAGCTTTGAGTTAAATGCAGGAAAGGTAGCAGCAAGCTGTCTACACCAGAAACCAGAAATCTTGAGTTCTCTGTGTGATCAGGAGCTTCTTGACCTCATCTATAAAATGAAAGAATGAGCTTGCTGTTTCCAAAGCTTACCTTTAGTCCTAGCATTACATAAGTAAAATATTTAGATATCAGATAACTTGGGTGGTGGCCAATTTTTATGCTGAAAATCTAGCAGAATTATTATAAATACAAGTTTTCTTAATTTAAGAAAAAGGAATCATTGGTATTATTTTGGATCTGCTAATTTAGTAACCTAATTTATGAACCTAACCAATTACTAATGATGACTTTAAGGTTTTTGTAGGATTATGATAATAATGTGAATGAAACTCTACTAGCTCATGGTCTTAAAGTTTTGTATAAACAGTTTTGGCATATCTTATCTATTTTATGATCTACAATAGACAACTTAATCCTATTATGACAAGAAGTAGTTGGCAGCTTGAAATATGCATTTAGGAACCTAAATCAGGAGCTTGGCACTAAAAATCAGGTATGTGAAGAATCAAGTGTAATATGAGGTTCTAAATATAGAAATTTGTTCACTAATAAGGTCTAAAGCTTGGAAATTAGGCCAGCGTTGTGCTTTACAAGCTAAATAGCTACAGTTAAAGCCAAAATTGGGAACTTTGGGCAAACATTTAGATGCTGCTGCTGCTTTGAAGTTTAGAAAAATGATATGAATAACTACAAACGAATGTCACATTGATTTTTATTTGAGTTAATTATCAACTTTTCAACATGTTTTTCTTTTTATATATACAGTATTTTGAGTGAGTAATAGTCTGAATAGTTACAGAACTTTTTTTTCTTAACTTGTAGGTATGGAAGTCTCAGTTTTTAATTAACTATATATATATATTATAATTTTATAAAGAAAATAATTTGCAAGTATTTGGGAGGGTAAGTAAGTGGTAATATTTCTTATTAAAATCTTATTGGTAGAGAATATAGGAAAAATTAGATGTATAGAGAGCAATCTGTTTGCTCTTGGAAGACAAATATTTATGATTTTATTATAAGATGTAAATTTTCATGACTGGAAAATATGAGAATAAAATTATTTATATCAAGATTCTTCAACCAGTAGAGTATAGGATAATCCAGCCTGTGCACCAGGCTTAGAAACCATGTAATACAGTTATATATGCAACATGAAATTTTTAATCAGAAATCTCTGGATTTAAATATCTAGAAGACATTTGCTATTTTCTAGTTATTAACTTTTAAGTATTTATTTTGTATATAGAAAATATGTGCATGCATACATAATTAGGTTTGATCTGTGCCATCTTACTCTGTATTTTCTGTGCGTTCTTGAATGCTTAATACTTGGGCCACATTGCACACCATGGACTTAAGTCCTAGCATTGTTTCACTAAACTTAATAGGACATTCTTAGAGAGAAAAGTGGGCACTTCTGTCCAGACAATGGGAATCATAGTTTTCAAACAACTTAGCAATGGTGTCATTAGGGGGATGTTAACTGCCAAATACCATTTAAGACATACTTTTCATTTGCTCTGAAAAAGTTGCAGTGCTTTGAAAGTCCTTCCAGATTTCTTTAAATGAAATCCAGAATACATTAAATTAGAACCATTCCTTAGAGGACTTGATTACATACTGATTTTTTAGCAAAGTATAAAGATTAAGCCAACTTTGAGACTTGTAAAGAAAGCACTCTTATTTTAAATAATTGTCTAAAGGTGAAAAGAACCACCTAAATGCACCCTCGCGTATCTACTAGATAGACTGGTTTAGGCACTTATTTTATTTCCAAATTGCGTGTCTGTGGTGTATGACCTCAAAGCACCAGCTACCTTGGATTGCTAATAGTCTTCAGGCTGAAACTGGGTGTCATCAGGCAGAGTGCTCTCCACTTTGGAATTTGCTCTCCATTGAGCAAGCCAAACCAGAGTGTGGTGACCCTGGAGCATGGGGCAAGGCCCATTTATTTACTCAGATTCTGCCTTGGGGCTGAATTCATGAATGAGTGATATTTTGTTTGGGACACAGTAGAAGATGATGAAGTCTAATCCATTTTATCAATATGTTCATGATTCTATTTGTGCGTCTGTGTTTTGTTATTTTAGGTGTTAGTTGTTACGACCTGAAGCATGTGCGTATTTTGATCACTATGCTCTTTTGCAAGGGCAGATTTGAAGAGCACATGCTTCCATAAAGTGAGAAAAAGTTTCCTCTTAGGTGGATTCATTCTTTTCTTTCTGTTGAGTGAAATGGTCTGCTTTTCGGGGCTGCAGGTGTTTAATGCCCATATTTTCCTTTTCTATTCTGGTAGATATTTAAAAACCTTTAAAATAAAATTCCATCATAGAATGAAGACTTGCCTGTAATAAACCCTATCCTTAAATTTGCTTTTTAATAATGTGGAATGCTGACTCTGGCACCAGTTCTAAGTTGGTCTTTTTCATAAACTAGTAAAAGAATTGTTTCTGAGGCTGACCTTTTTATAAGAGCATGTTAGCATACATGTTGGTATGTATTTCCACGTACAAATTTGGATTAATTAAGCTTAAAATTTAATTTGCATTTTCAGGAAAGTTTTGAAATTTTGATTTTGAAATAATGTCTCTCTTTGAAAATCTTGATGATTTAAGGTTATTATTTCCATAGCTTTTCCGGGAGAAAAAGTAGTTACTATGACCCACATTTTATGGATGATAGGGAAAGAATTCCCATTCTTTTTGATCAAATGAGTTAGTGGAGGCCACAAAAGCCAGCCCCACTTCTTGCCAGGGTTATAATTCCCAAGGGTGCAGCTTTTAATTCTGACTAAGAACAATGGCCTAAAAATAAATTAGAGCAATACCTAAAATATTATATGTGAATAACTATTTTGGATCTAAATTCCAAGTTCTTTTTACATTAAAAACACAATGCCTAATGGTTCATAGTTGAGGAAGAGGATTAAGCCGCTTTCTCAAATTTGTTTTACTCCTTTGTGGCTTTAAACCAATCCCTTAATAGGATTTAATTGTGACTTTGACAATTAAGCTTTCTATGTAATGAAAGGCCAGTGGTTGTTTTGGAAAAAGATAAGTGTTATAGGGGGTATTACCTTTGGAAGTTTATGAGTCTAAAAGTCAACGTAATAAAACATTGCAGTCTTAGAGGGAGCCTATGTAAATGTGTTGCTACAGTAGTTAAGTATATAAATGACTTTTCTACTTATATAGACTTCTGCACAGCTCTTATTTATAGCATACAAATATATATTTACCAAAGAGAACTTTAAGAATATATCAGGCCTGGGAACTTTTACTTTCATTGTTTAAATAAATAAATAAATATATATATAAATTACATATATTATTTTTTGTTTGGGTTATTGGTTTATAGTTGCTTCTATGCATGTCTATTTGTTTTCTTTTAAAAAGAATTTTGCAATATTTTTGCACCATATATACTTTATATATATAGTTTATATATATAGTTTATATGTATAGTTTATATATATAGTTTATATGTGTATATATATATGTGTGTGTGTGTGTAAAACAAATGACCTTGATTCAGAAAATTATATTAGCACTGTCAGAATTAGCCTTTGGTATATTATTTAAATAGTCTATATTTCCATGAAGAATGGATTTACTACTTGAATAACTTTAAAAATGGAGTCGAAAAACCCAATAATCTCTTCCCCTAAATTCTACAAATAGAAATCCTTATGCTGTCACCATAAATGGCTTTCCCCACCAAGGGCAAGCCTGCTATGTAGAAGAAACGCTACATTATATTTTTAAGAAATTGTTTTAGAAAGAAAATCATTTTGTTTTCTCAATGTCCATGATATGTAACATGCCATTCTGTTTTAAAACCTAACAACATCTCAACCAATCTCAAGATCAGTTATTAAAGCTTGTCCTGTCTGTCATGAGCTAGTGTTACCTCTTGCAATGTGGCTGGACAGCATTCTTATTCTCACTTATAAAGTGAGATAGAATATTCAGTTCCTCCTGAACACTTTTTTCTTTTTTTTTTTTTAATAATAGAGAGTAGGTTGGCAACAATAGGGGAATGTGCATACAGATGTCAATTTGGGTGTTATTTTAATCACCTCCCTTAGGATGAATATAATCCGTTAGAGATTTATGTAGGTGCACGTGTGAGTGTATGAGATTGTATGACATTTTTTACTCAGATCTATTTTATTATGAAAAAAAATCTTGCAAATGTGTAAATTGCATTGAACACTGCCCGGTCCTCTTCCTTCCTCTCCCTTCTTTTCCTACACTCATCAATGACCCAATTTATGAACATGCAAGCTGGTATTCCTTTTGGTCTATATTCTTACTTAGAAAAGAGAGATCAAAAATGCATCAGCATAGACAAACTGCTGTAATCAGTAAAGTTGGAAGCTGACACACTTATAGAGTCCTGCTTGCCAAAAATAGGATTTCATTTGTACTGGAATTTTTTCCCCTGAACCAGTTTTGCCAATGCTGTAGTAAATGACAACTTTGGGAATGCAGGATTGGGAAACACGATGTTTCAGTAGGTGGCGCTTCAACACAGCCCACCTGCTCGAGGGCTTACGTGAGTGCTCAACTTTCTAATACCTGTGGTGCATCAAAGAGGCTTGGCCCAGTTTGTTAACATCGCAGCCAGACTGTTGTCTCAGGCAATAACGACGTCAAATGCAGCTGAAACATCTAGGCGGGAAGGACTGTTACTGTAGGTCACTGGTAATTATTTTCACACACACACACACACGCACACACACACCTTCATACATACCTACACTAGCTCTACTTCTAAAATTAAAAGCCAGAGAGAGCCAGTCTCAAAATGTCAATGATACTGCAATAATTTCAGCTTCTTATTTATTTTTTGTTTGGGTTATTGGTCTATAGTTGCTTATTGTCTGTTTTCTTTTAAAAAGAATTTTGCAATATTTTTGCACCATTAGTTCTTAGTAAACAAAAAGATTTTCTCTTTCAAATAATATTACTATTTAAATAAAATAAAAGAGTATACAGAAATACCAAAAGTTCATTTTTAAAAATTCAGTAAAAGAAACCATCTGCAGTGAGGCTCCCTAACATGCCTGTAAATTGACATAAACCAGGATGATTAAGTGGATGATAAGCCACATGTCATTGACAAACAGGAATAGAGATGCCTGGAGAGAAATGTACTATAAAGGGCTTCACTGCACCAAGAAAGCTCCCTATGGTCCATTGACCTAAAGATATCTGCAAACTTCATCCAAGAGAAGATGAAGAAGGAGACTAGAATACTTTACAATAACTAGAGACTCATCTTTGAAAAGATGAGAAACTGACTAGTATTTTTTTTCCTGATCTGTCAACCAACATTCAGAGTTCAGAATATCACAGGTATTTTAGATTGTTATGTAATTTGCTAATGTTTTATTGAAATCTTCTAAATATACAATAAATAAATTTCCATAGAAAATACTGTATATTAGGAGGGTTCATTCTGCTTTTCTTTGCCTTTCAATCTGCTGCTTTTATATAAATTGAAATACACATTTTCAGAAGAGTTAGTAAATATAACTTGCATTTAAAAAGTATTCTTTAGTATATCATATTGATATGAAAACTTTATATATAAAGTAATGGCATTTGTAATTGGTATAAAAACAACCCAATTAAATGCATGAAATAAAAGAATAAAAATGCTTTCTGTTTCTCCTAGATCATCTGTTGTTTATTCTATAATTCATGGACACCTAAAAAATGAACAGAAAGATACATTTTGGGTTCTTATATAGTTCTAAAAAGCTTTCAGATAATAAAGCATAGTAATATAATTTTTTAAACGATCAGGGATTAAAATATTGAACACAATTTTTTCCTCCTGAAAAAGGCTGATAGAAAAAAAGCATCAGCTGGCTTTCTTCTTTTGTCTATAATTCTTGATGGAATTATAAATTTAGAAGAAATAAACACAAATTGAATTTTTAAATTCCTTTCTCCCCAAAACCACAGTGTGTATCACTGCTATGATGTAAGTTTTAGTTTTTGTTTTTTTTTAAGAAACATATCTTTCCTATATGCATCTATTAGACTTGGATACTTGCTCTCTCTTTCTGCATATTTTAAAGCTTCCCTATGAAGAAGAAGGAAAAGGGCCCTCTAAAATTTCACATCTTTGTTATTAGAATATATTGACATCCCTTGCTTCGTTGACTTTTTATTACAGTCCGGAGGAAAAAAAAAAACAACAAACGATTGTCAGTGTCAGCTCAGCTCTTTGTTGTGATTCCAAGTGAAGATTTTTGGCATTTTCTCTTTGCTTTCAGCTTTGTGGATTTTCTTTTTCACTCTATCTTATTTTCAGTGGAAGTCAGGTTAAAGACAAACTTGAAAGCTTTAGGATTATTATTTTTCCTTTTCCATAGGCTTTGGCCCACAAAATGCCAACATAAAAGATAGCTTTGCATCAGGCTCCCTTGGCCACTGGGTCCTCCGCTGAGGCCCTGGCATCTGTCAGCGAGGAACACTCCAATCTGGGCTCCCTGCTGAGCTGAGATGTGGCTGCCTCCCCCAATAAAGGGCCACACCGCTCCTGAGCCAAAGCATGGGACCATCTGATGCGAGTCTGGCCTAATGAAAGTCCAGCATGGGGCTAAATGAGTTTCTACCACTGCTGGGTGAGGGGCTAATGATAAAACAGCTCCCTGGGCTCACTGCTGCTGTTGGTATCTTTGTCAGGGCATATGGCAGTTGGCTGAATGCCTTACTTGTGAGATTTCCTAGCAGATTTATCCTGAGAATGTGTTATATCTTCCCTTCTCCACCTCCCTTTGGCCTCCTCTTCAGCTCTTCTGTACTCTTGAGGGTCTCCTGATTGTTGGGCCTTAAAGACTCTCTTTTTATTTTGTAAAATTGTGAATTAAAAAAAAAAACTTGGATGGCAAAACAGAAAAATGGAAGAGATAATGATATTGACTTACATCCAGTGGGTGGTTTTATTTCCTTTGGAACATTATAAGCTAAAAGCATAAATTTCACAAGCCAGAGAAACAATCAGCTTGAAACTTGTTGAATACAGTAATGCTACTCAAAATTTTCTTTATCATGTGCTCTTTCCTTCTTTCTTTCTTCCAATGTACAATCCATCACTTCTATAATGTATTTAGGAATTTATAATAAATGATAAATAAGTGATTTCAAAACTTTTTCATTACCAACATTTTCCAGTTGATTTAATTAAATACTATACAGAAAAAAAAGTTTCTTTGGTTTACTCACTATCCTTGTCCTTAGTATCCTGAGAGAAGACACATTTTGGGAGATTCTAATTTATGGGTGCATTGCATAGGCCAGTTTTTTTTTTTTTTTTGGATATGTTTTGGTTTGATGTATGTAGATTTAGAGCACAATTTGAATTGCTATGGGAAAGTGCCTACAATAAAAACTAAAGCAATCTTCCAAATCCTAGAAACATTTCAAAAATGTATGTCCTACTCTTTTTACATTTATAAGTTCCTTAAAAATAAATAAATACTTCGATGCCAATTCTGATATTTTAATATTGCCAGCATATTATTGTATCTGAATTTGGTTTGTTTGATTCTGTGATTTGTTTTTAGATACATTCTTATTGCTCTTGTTAGTTTACAAGTAGATTAAAATTGATGATAAAAGGGCACGATCATGAAAGCTTTATATAATGGTATATTTTATTCTTTATATTGGAAAGTCACACATCTAAGAGCAGCAGGGTTATGCAGGAAGGTCCTAAAACTTAGATATTTTTAAATGTAAAGGTCATGATTTCGGCTCTTTTTGCTAAGGTGCCTCTTTCTCTGTCACTGTCATTCAACTTACGTTTCTGTCAGAAATCTCCAGGACTTAAATACAATGTGAAATTTGCACAGCTGCAAGAAATAGCCCATTCTAATCTAAATATAAGTGATCCTTTCATAAACTTGTTCTGAAGAATTCTAAATGAAATCTCTTAAAAATCACATGTTTCTTACTGAATGAACCCATTTGCGTGGAGAGGTTCCACATGGGCCCCAGGTGGTCCCCCGTGTCGGCCACGCGGTCAGTGATATGATCTAAATGAGATTGTTTTCTTGTAAATCGCATGCTGCAGAAATACCATCACGTTCCACATGCGGTATGCCCCATTTTAATTTATTCCCATGACAAAAACTCCATTAATATAATTTTGGAACAAAGTGAAAATGATAGGAATTTTCTGTGTCACAGAGAAACTAAGCCTGCTTTTTTCTTAAGGAAATACTGCTTTAAAAATGCAAGAAAATCCAGTTGCTAATTTAAAGAAATTCTTCTTAGTGCAAACATTATTCACAAAGTATTTTCAAATCTGCAGTATTGAAATAAATTATAATATTTTCCCCATATTTTTATATGTTACTTTGTAAGCTGTCTTCACATTTTTAAAATCTGTATCTGTTGGCGTTCCCTAATAAACATATTAAAATATTTTTATATGCTAGTATTTTTGAGGCTTGCCGTGAACCAAAACTACACCTCTCATTTGGCAATTGCAAGTGTACATTATTACAGGATTCCCTACTTCCAGACAAATATGAGAGAATATGGAATAATGAAAGAATTATGTACTAAAAAGTCAAGAAGCCTGAATTATCACAATTCTGTCACTTCATAGGAACATAGCCCTTTCGATTAAAAATTATAATAGCCACACATTTGCTGATCCATCGTGTGTCAGATACTTTATCCCCCCTCCATGATTTTCTTTTATTCGCATAGAGTCACTGAGGTTTAGAGAACTTTAGAAACACATCCGGAGTGTCACAGATAGTAGGAGACACAACAGAGCTTCAAAACTTCATCACTTCAGACATTGAAATCATCAAAATGTATTCTCATTCCACCTTCAAACTTTTTTTACTCTCTCAGAACCACAATTGTGGACTAGGAAAATTTGAGATCTAAACTAGAAAGTTTTGGCTTTTATCTCAGCTATAAAATTCTGCTGTAATTGGCAACATAATGCAGTGAGTGGTGCTGTCATTGGATGAAAGAGTAACTCAAGTCATGGGATGGAACTAAGCCATGTAGAGAGTGTAAGAGTGAGATTAGCAATGAACCACTAAATCACTGGAATCTTGGTAGTGTAATCATTAGTACTGACTACTTGTAGAGTATTTGGGAACTTGTTAGCTACTGATGCTCTTTGAATTTGCCTGTCTAGGAGAAGTAAAAAGAAAAAAGAAAGAAAGGAGAACAAATGAAAGAAAAGGAATAAAAAGAAAAGAAAAGGAAAGGAAAGAATAGAAGATAGAAAACCCCAGTGTTCGTTAATATAGACCTGCTTCTCCTGATTTAATCATACCCTTCCAAAATATTGGCTTCACAAATAAAAAAGCTTCTATTCTATAATTACAGAAAACATCAGTAGATTTGAAAGGAGACATGGATTTTCTTTTAGTGAAATCATGTTTTTATGTCCACCTACTAATCAACTAGGTTCCCAAAACAACTTTGTGCAAAGCTGCTAAACAAAAAATTACAGAGGCTATCTGTAATCTTCTTTCCTCTTGCCAAGCTACTTCTTGATAACTTATGGAACCATGCAATTGCCCCATTAGATAATTGGTGTGTTTTTAGTGTGTATTGGCTATCAATATGGAGAACTGAAATATGGGTTAGTATTCTGTTAAACTGGAAGAAAAAACAAGTTCATACATGTCTTCTATCTCTAATTCATAATATAAATGAATACATATATTTAAGAAAATATTTATTAAATATTTTAAATAAGTATTTAATAAGGTAAATATCTGAATAGCTTGGCAAGGTCTTTTATACATAAACCATATAGCTAATATAATACATATTAATAATAATATAATACATAAAATTATATATGTTGAGTTGGGATTAATTTTAGTATTTATCTTTCAGTATCTAAAGAGGTACTTTTCCCTCAAAGTAATTTTGTATTCATAATATTTATTTCATAAATAAATAAATGGACAAATAAAATAGATTTTAATTATATGTGTGCGCATATATATATATGTATATATACTTGGAATTCTAAAGAAACAATTTCATGATTGTTGGTATCCAGTAAATTGTACACACACTAGTTTTTAAGTTTTTAATTTTCCAGCATTCCTGCACTTAAGAAGAAAATATCATAGGTTTTGAAACCATAGCTTCAAGAACTTTAGATGTGTTAACCAAGGAAAGGTGTAATTTGCTATATCTATCTATCTATCTACCTAAGCTATGTTTACATTTAATATGTCAAGTCCCAGTTGGTTTAAGTTCTCCTGCTCATTCCAATGGTGGTGTTTTTTCCTCAAGCAGAACATTTGCAGGGACTCCTAATTTGCAAGAAAAATAAACTATGTAGTTTGCAGTTCACGAACATTTTTAAATGCAAGGGAATCGCTGATGAAACAGAAGATAAAAATACATAGAATTGACTCATAATGTAGAAGGGAGGAACGCGTGAATAATATATTACTTTATGCTATGTAAGTGCTGAAAGAACATGAATGTATTTCGTGGAAAATGTACAGGTGCTTACATAAAAGTACATTTTTAGCTGACAGCAGTAGAGAAATATGTTAATCTAGCAGATGTGAACTTGGAGCAATTTATTTTGGATCAATAACACTAAGCGATATCAATAAATCAGATTGAAGTGATTTTAGACTAGCTGTGTGACCTGCTACTCAGATGGCACAAAACTCCTCTTACCTGTCCCTTGTACCAAGGCAGGAGGGAACACGTAGAGACATGGAAGACAGGGCAAGTTTCAAAACCAAAGACATTAAAAAGGAGTTTTGGAACACACCTTCATTATTCAGAAGTGTATTTAATGATCATACCCTATAACTCTATATTTTGGCTACAAGTGTCTATAGTAACTCCTACAGATTGCATTTTTCCTATTATTTTTAATTATCTTCTTGAGAAACAAGTTTACTGCTGCCCAGACAGATCGAAACAAAATTATTATTTGGCAGATTGCCAAATACGAATTACTAGTCAAAATTTTTCTTTCTATTAAGAGTCTTTAAGAAAGTTCCAAATATTTTTCTTGTTTATGAGGAAAATTGTTTTTTATTATTGATTAGTGTATACCAAAATTCACTGGAATATCTATTTTTAAACACTTTTTAAAACATACCACAATTGTTTGTTTTAAAAATTCCACATATTACTTTAGGTATGGAACACTACATTTTGCTTTCAGCCAAAAATGTTAAGACATTTACAAACATTAACAATTTTTTATGCCTCCAAATAGCCATCACATCACTCTGGGACATGGAAATATTATATTTGCTATTTATAAGTGGAGTGATTTCATCATTTATGTTTATTAATTGGTGATATTTCATGGCCTGAAAAACTAAGACTTCATTACATCTCATTTGGAATTTCATCAGGTCTCTTTGTAGTCAAAATATTAAACTCATTCTAGGCATTAGGCTTTATAGTCACAAGTATAATGTTAATGTGTTTTAGTAGTGCTGTAAGCACAGCCTATATGAGTAGTAGTGAAATACTTCTCAAAATCAGGTTAAAATAGCCACATTTTACCTCCACTCATCATGCTCATAACTCCAACCTACTTTCCAGAGGGGTAGTGAACGAATACTCATTAAAAACTATGAAAAAAAAAAAGGCCTTGTAGTTATACCTGGCAAGATGCAGTTATAACTACAAAATCTTTAACACAAATACAGGTCAATTAGCACTTATATAGTGTTGTACAATCATCAGCTTATATAAAAACATCCTTACAAGCTAGGTATTATTGCCCCATCTCACATCCATTGAAAACTAAGAAAGGCATTTGCTCAGTGTCACCCTGAAGAGGCAGCATAATTTTGGTTCCTAGCCTTCTTGAGGCTAATATTTGTCCTAAAGGTGAAATAAAGTGCTCAGTATTAGGGAATGGCTTTCAGAATTTAATGACAAAAAACTAGATACAAAATATTCAGCGATCTAAGTTTTAAAAATTCAAGTTCTGTCCTGCTCCCACAAAGTTTCATGTTAAAATTCATTCTCTCTGGCAGAAGGACCAGAGAGAGACAGCTCTGTCTAGCCTATTTTCCTCCTCTTTTTATTATTGTTGCCATTCATTCTTCTCCATCTTTCAAGAATTTAACTTTGCCCTTTTCATTTTTTGTTTTTGCAAAAACACATAAATAATAACTGTAAAAGTAAGATATAAATCCAAAAGGATTTTACTGGCAAACTCCAAGATTGAAGTTATTTTTCTTTTCAAATTGTAGTTTATTTTATAAACTTTACACTGGAGGCTCTAACTTGTTTCCCAGTTTTAAAAAAGCTTAATTTATTTTTCTCTGTTACATGCTTTCAAATTGCTAGGACTAACTGAGCTGAGCTATAATATATAAGACACAATCTGTTTCATGTTGTAAAGCAAAGCCACTCTAAATTAACTATATTTTAGGGGATAGACTTATGGAAATACCCCATGCATAAAGGTTTTGGGCTTAGTTATAGAACACATTCATGTTTTTCTAATGTGTTTGACAAGTTTTGTCCAAATATTAAAATAGTCTGGCTTCATAAGACTTTGGCTAATCGTAGAAGGTTGCTCTTGTCATAGTAATAAAATGAATTTTGACTTATTTATAAGCAGTATAGAATGTGATCATAATTTGTTTCGGGTAAGCAGCCCCGAGGCAGGGAATATGGCAGCCTTGAATCAGGGAACATGGCAGACTGTTGAGTTCTCACAAGCTGAATTTTGAAGACACCTTTAAGTTATTTTATAGTTTTTACTTACAATAACAAAAAAAAGTCTCAGGTCATCTATAAAGTACATTTGTAAAAATCAGATTTGTTTTATCCAGTGGAATTTTAATTCTATTTTATATTCACTCACATGCTAAGTGAGAGAGGCTACTAATTTTATATAATTTGTGGTTTATTTTTATCATTTCAATAAAGGAATAAATGGTCTATAAGAGTTTATTTTTATTTAAAAGAAATCAGAAATGAAAGCTTTTATAATGTGAAAACAATTACAAGTTAATTTTCCCGATGAATATTGTTGCAAAAATCTTCAACAAAATACCGATAAAACAAATTCAGTAGCACATTAAAATAATCATACATCATGGTCAAGTAGGATTTATCCTTAGGATTCAAGGATGGTTCACCATGTGAAAATCAATTAATGTGATACACTACACTAAGAGAATAAAGGATAAATTCATATTATCATCTCAATAGATGCAGAAAAAGCATTTGATAAAATTCAACATACTTTTATAATAAAAACTCCCCAAAAATTAGGTATAGAAGGAATGTACCTTAACATAATGCCATATATAATCATAATAAAAATGGCCATATATGACAAGCCCACAGTTAACATCCCAGTCAACTGTGTTTAAGATGAGGACCAAGACAAGGATGCCCATTTTCACCATTTCTATTTGATACAGTACAGAAAGTCCTCATCAGTGCATTAGGCAAAAACAAAAACAAAACCACAAACAAACAAAAAAATGCAATCAAATCAGAAAGAAATTAAATTGTCTCTGTTTGTAGATAACATAAAAACCCTAAGGATTCCACCAAAAAAGAGTTGAAACTAATAAACAAATTTAATAAAGTTGCAGAATACAAAATCAACATGCAAAAATCAGTAGTGTTTCTATACACTAACAATGAACTACCCTAAATTGAAATTTTAAAAATCTCATTTACAATAGCATCAGAAAAATAAAATACTTCAGAATAAATTTAACCAAAGAAATAAAAATATGGACAATGCAAACTATAAAACAGTGATAAAAGAAAATTAAGAAGGCCTAATTGAATGGAAAGCTATCCTGTGTACATAGATTGGAAGAATTAGTATTGTTAAAATGTCAATATTACCCAAGGTAATTGTATTTATTAGTCCATTCTCACACTGCTAATAAATACCTGAGAATGAGTAATTTATAAAGGAAAGGGGTTTAATTGGCTTACAGTTCTGCAGGGCTGGGGAAGCCTCAGGAAACTTACAGTCATGGTGGAAGTAAAAGAAAACACATCCTTCTTCACATGGTGGCAGCAAGGAGAAGTGCCAAGCAAAGAGGGGAAAAGCTCCTTACAAAAACTTCAGATCTTGTGAGAACTCACTCACTATCATGAGAACACCATGAGGGTAACCACCCCCATGATTAAATTACCTCCTGATGGATCCCTCCCATGAAATGTGGGGATTATGGGAACTAAAATTCAAGATCAGATTTGGGTGGTGGCACAGCCAAACCATATCATTCTGCCACTGGTCCCTCCCAAATCTCATGTCCTCAACATTTCAAAACACAATCATGCCCTTCCAATAGTCCCCCAAAGTCTTAACTCATTCCAGCATTAACTCAAAATTCCAAGTCCAAAGTTTCATCTGAGACAAGGAGAGTCCCTCCCACCTATGAGCCTGTAAAATCAAAAGAAGTTAGTTACTTCCTAGATACAATGGGGTACAGGCATTGGGTAAATACACCCACTCCAAATGGGAGAAATTGGCCAAAACAAAGGGGTTATAGGACCCATGCAAATCTGAAATCTAATAGGGCAGTCATTAAACATTAAAGTTCCAAAATGATCATCTTTGACTCCACATCTCACATCCAGGGCACGGTGATGCAAGAGGTGGGCTCTCACAGCCTTGGACAGTTCCACTCCTGTGGCTTTTCAGGGTACAGCTCCCCTTCTGGCTGCTTTCATGAGCTGGCATTGAGTGTCTGTGGCTTTTCCAGGCACACAATGCAAGCTGTTGCTGGATCCACTATTCTGGGGTCTGGAGGATGGTAACCCTCTCACAGCTCCACTAGGCAGTGTACCAGTGGGAACTCTGTGTGGGGGCTCCAACCCCACATTTCCCTTCTGCACTAACCTAGCAGAGGTTCTCCAGGAGGGCTTCACCCTTGCAGCAAACTTCTGTCTGGACATCCAGGCATTTCCATACATCCTCTGAAATCTAGGCAGAGGTGCTCAAACCTCAATTCCTGACTTCTGTGCACCCATAGGCTCATCACCTCGTGGAAGCCACCAAGACTTGAGGTTTGCACCCTTGACACAATGGTTCAAGCTATACCTTAGCCCCTTTTAGCCACATCTGGAGCTGATGAACCTAGGGTGCAGGGCACCATGCCATGATGCTGCATAGAGAAGGGAGGCCCTGGACCTGGCCTAGGAAACCACTTTTCCCTCCTAGGCCTCCAGACCTGTGATGAGAGGGGCTGCCATGAAGGTTGCTGACATGCACTGGAGTCATTTTCCCTATTGTCTTGGTGATTCACATTTGGCTCCTCGTTACTTATGCAAATTTCTGCAGCCCACTTGATTTTCTACCCAGAAAATGGGGGTTTCTTTTCTATCACATTGTCAGGCTGCTTTGCCATTTAGAAATTTCTGTTGGCCGATACCCTAAATCATCTCTCTCAAGTTCAAAGTTCCACAGATCTCTAGAGCAGGGGCAAAATGCTGCCAGTCTCTCTGCATAGCAAGAGTGAGCTTTACTCCAGTTTTCAACAAGTTCCTCACCTCCATCTGAGATCACCTCAGCCTAACTTCATTGTCTATATTACTACCAGCATTTTAGTCAAAGCCATTCAACAAGTCTCTAGGAAGTTCCAAACTTTCCCATATCTTTCTGTCTTCTGAGCCCTCCAAGTCTCTGGGAAGTTCCAAATTTTCTCACATTTTCCTGCCTTTTTCCGAGCCCTTCAAATGGTTCCAATCTCTGCCTGTTATCCAGTTCCAAAATCACTTACACATTTTGGGGTATCTTGACAGCAGTGCTCCACTTTCTGCAGTGGGCCAATTTACTGTGTTAGTCCATTCTCACACTGCTAATAAAGACATACCTGAGACTGAGTAATTTATAAAGGAAAGAAGTTTAATTGACTCACAGATCAGCATAGCTGGGGAGGCCCCAGGTAACTTACAATCATTGCACAAGGGGAAGCAAACAGGTCCTTCTTCACATGGTGGCAACAAGGAGAAGTGCCGAGCAAGAGGGGAAAAAGCCCATATAAAACCATCAGATCTCGTGAGAACTCATTCACTATCATGAGAACTGCATGAGGGTAATCACCCCAATGATTAAATTACCTCCCAATTTGTCCCTCCCATGACAAATAGAGCTTATAGGAACAACAATTCAAGATGAGATTTGAGTGAGGACACAGCCAAACCATGTCAGCAATGTATAGATTCAATACAATCTCTATCAAAATTCCAATGAATTTTTTACAGAGAAAGAAAACAGAACCTTAAAATTCATATGAAACCAGAAAAGGCCCTGAATAGCCAAAGCAGTCTTGAGCAAAATGAAACAAAGCTGGAGGCATTAAACTACATTATTTCAAAATAAACAACAAAGTTGTTGTAAACAGAATGGCATCATAAGGCCATAATAAGACATAAAGACCAATGTAATGGAATAGAGAGACCAGAAGTAAATCCATACATTTATATACTCAATTGATCTTTGACAAAGGTACCAAGAATACACAATAGGGACAGTAAAATATCTTCTTTTCCTTTGGGAAGGAAAACCAGATATCCACATGCAGAAGAATGAAATTGGACCCTTATCTCATACCATATACAAAATCAACTTGAAATGAATGAAATAATTAAATTTAAAACCCCAAACTATAAAAGTAGTAGCAGAAAATATTTTTAAAATCTTCTTAATATTGGTCTGACCAATTATTTTTTGGATATGACCACAAAAACACACACAACAAAAGCAAAAAGAGAAAAATTCAATTATATCAAATTAAAAGGCTTTCACACAACACAGGAAACAATCAGTGGAGTGAAAAGATAAACTACGAAATGAAAAAAAATTGTAAACCATACATCTAATAAAGGGTTAATATCCAAAATATACAAGGAACTCAAACAAAAAAATCTCAATTAAAAAATGGTCAACAGAACAGACATTTCTTGAAAGGAAATATACAAATGGCCAACAGGTATATGAAAAAATGCTCAAGATCATTAAATATCAGAGAAATGCAAATTAAAACCTCAATGAGATATCACCTCACACATATTAGAATGGCTATTTTCTTTTTTTTTTTTTTTTTTTTTTGAGACGGAGTCTCGCTCTGTCGCCCAGGCTGGAGTGCAGTGGCGGGATCTCGGCTCACTGCAAGCTCCGCCTCCCAGGTTCACGCCATTCTCCTGCCTCAGCCTCCCAAGTAGCTGGGACTACAGGCGCCCGCCACTACGCCCGGCTAATTTTTTTGTATTTTTAGTAGAGACGGGGTTTCACCGTTTTAGCCGGGATGGTCTCGATCTCCTGACCTCGTGATCCGCGGCTATTTTCAATAAGACAAAAGACTTCAAACTTTTGGCAAGGATGTGGACAAAAGGGTATATACTATTAGTAGGAATGTAAATTAGTACAGAAATTATGAAAAATAGCACGAAGATTCATTTAAAAACAAACATGAAACTACTATACGATCCAGCAATCTTACTTCTGGGTATATATTCAAAAGAAATTAATTCAGTATGTTGAAGAGATACCTGCATTTTCATGTGTATTGCAGCATTATTCACAACAGACAGAGGTATGGAATCAACTTAAATGTCTACTGAAAGATGAATGGATAAAGAAAATGGTGTAATACACAATGGAGCACTCTTCAGCCTTAAAAAAATAAGAAAATTCTGTAATTTGAGACAACATGGATGAACCTGGAGGACATTATGTTAAGTGAAATAAGCCAGGCATGGAAAGACAAATACCCCTTGATCTCACTTTATATGTGGAATTTAACAAGTGGAACTCATGGAAGCAGTGAGTAAAACTGTGGATGCCATAGGATGAAGGCAGGGAAGGAAATGGTGAGATGTTGACCAGTAGTTAGAATGTTTCAGTTAGGATGAAGAAGTTCTAGAGGTCTTTTGTGCAGCATGGTTACTATTGTCAATAATAATGTATAGTATACTAGAAAATAGCTAAAATAGTAGATCTTCAGTGTTCTCATCACACACACATGCACACACACACATATAATCATGTGAAGTGATGAATATCTTAATTAGCTTGCCTGTGGTATTAATTTCACAATATGTCGTGTGTTAAAACATCACATTGTGTACCATAAACATATATGATTTCTGTTTTTATAATTATATTTCAAGGCAGCTTGGAGAAAAAGATTGTATACGGATTGTATATTTGTATAATGTAAATAACTTTTCATGGTGACATAGGGTTATCCTGTAATTTATATGTTATAACTTTAATTTTAAGTGAACTATAGTAATATTTGTAACATTTTAATACCTGCAGAAGTAAACAAGATGTTTAGCATGGACTTTACATGTGTACCAGATTATACAGCATCATTCATGGAACCAACTGTATTTTCCTCACAAAGATCACACTTTCCTCTAGTTTAATTCCTAGTTCTGTTGTCAGGTTACGCCCAGACTTCATGCCATTCTTCCTTGAAAATTCACTCAAACAAGTAATAAGAAGAGCTACTATGTGGGGGAGCTTCTTACATGCCAGGCACTGTGTTAAGTACATTGTATACATCATTGCATCAATTCTCACAACTCAAGGAAATAGGAATTATTGTGTCCACCTTAGAGAGGTTGACTTACGGGCATGTTTAGAAACTAGTGGATCCAGTTAGATATGAAGTTAGATTAATATTAAAGCTCAAGCTTTTAACCACTGCATTATTTTTAGCTCAGTTCAACTTTGTAAATTTTAACTCTGAAGGTAACAGAGAAGGGGTTAGGTTGAAGACATAGCAGTTATTTCTGTGTTTTAGGATAAAGTATTTAACCTACTAGATTCTTATGTCATCTTCTTAAAAATAGAAATAACCTCAAAATAGCTAGCGAGTCATGGAAAATCATTTAGAAGTGTGCCTGGAATCTATTAAGTCAATAATTCTAAAGCTTTAAAAAATCCAATTAACTAAATCTTTCAATCATCCTTTTCAACGAATAAAAACTGAACAACCAAGGATGCTCTGATATAGGCGTGTATAAATATACATGACCAAGACAGATGAGAACTCTGCTTCTATGGATCTTGCATTCTGGCATTGCACAAATAATAAAAAAGTAATCCAAATACCATCAAGGCAATTTCAAATTGTGAGAATGTCTATGAAAAAATAAAGAGAATAATGTGATGAAAAGCAAACTTGTGCAGAGGCTGTTTTAATGCAGGTGAGAATAAGCTTCTATTAGCAGGGATTGTTAAGACAGATAAAACTAAGTAAATAATATGTTTCACATTTTATATTTTATATCCATGCAAATTCAGCACCCTGTTATTTGCTTCAGTAGCAAAATGATATTTTGAATTACTGTAGAAATTACTGAAATTACCTCCCAAATATCAGAATAAAATTAGTGACCCAGAATGCCAAGTGTTGCTTATCCTGCACTAAGCAAGTCCTACTTATACTATCAGAGAGAAAATCACTGGAGAAGGAATTAGTGAATACCCAGTTATTGTTAGGGGTATACCCTCTATTCTTCTTGGAAAGATCTTCACAGAAGATCTTGAGAAGATCTTCTCAAGAAAACCTTGAGTCTTCTCAAGGTTTTCATAGACTAAGATTGGGTTTAATCATTTACTTACAAGATATTCACAACCAAAGCTAATCAATTCTTAAATAAATATAATATTCCTGTAGTCCAAAGCAGTAGAGATACACCTGTAAGACTCATTCTCTTCCTGAATTTCTGTGTGTGTGTTGTTGTTGTTGATGATGATGATGATGCTACTCTTTAAATTTGGATGGAAAAAAAGCAATGTTTTAAAATACAACATGTATGATCACACACTACTTGGGATACTGAGGAATAGGTACCCATCTCCTTTTTGGTACAAACACACTTCCAAGGCCTTTCATACTAAATGACTGTTTTGATGATGGGCTGACCATACAAGCAAAGTGGTTATCTATGCCATTTAAATAAAGAAAAAATAGGCTAAGCATGGTGGCTCACCCCTGTAATCCCAGCACTTTGGGAAGCCCAGGCAGGCAGATTGCTTGAGCTAAGGAGTCCGAGACCAGTGCGGACAACATGGCAAACAACCATGTCTCTACAAAAAAAATACAAAAACTAACCAGGTGTGATAGGTGCGTGCCTGTAGTGCCAGCTACTCAGGAGGCTGAGGTGGGAGGATAACCTGAGCCTGGGACGTTGAGGGAGCTGAGATCGTGCAATTGCACTCCAGCCTGAATGACAGAGTGAGAACTTTACTCAAAAAAAGAATAAGAAAAAAAGGAAAGGAAAGTATAAATAGAAGAACTGTAGAGCTGGAAACAATTTTTTCATCATTTCAAATCCTTAGCATGGGCATATGAATTAATTTTCAGAGTTGTAATACACTTTTATGTATTAATCATGGGACTGTTGATTATGTATTCCCAAGGAAATCTGCCTAGGCATTTGCCTCTCTACCAGATCACCACTGTTGATTCCATTTAGTCTCTGACTGTGATTACTTGCAGATGGGGTCCATTCGCAACAACATTTTTATATCATGTACAAGATTAGAGCAAACAAACTACTTTGACTACAGTATTCTCCAATTACATTAATTTTATCCACTGATGTCTTTATTTCCTTCCTTTCTAATTTAACTGTGTAATGTGAAAATAGACCCTATTTTTGTGCCTATTGTGATGTTCTTAATCCTCTCTTTCTTCCCACATGGTGTTAGTTGCCTAAGAGGACTTCACAAACAGACTCCTCTAATGGGAACAAGAGGATTTTCCTTCTTGCAGAAAAATCCCAAAATGAGTCCTACACTTAACTTTCCAAGCTTTGAGTTGGAGGGAAGAAGTACCAGACATCCATTACAAAAACATATAGCAGCTATACACTTCTGTCACCTACACTTGTAATCTTTCCACTTCTCAGGACAGAATCACTATAATTAGGTCTGGCTAAATGGAGAAAGCTATGCAGGGAAAGGTGGAATCGAGTGTGGTAAGTGGTGATGGAAAGGTAATCATAGAAAAGAAAAAATATTAAAAAGATAAAAGAGACATAAAGAAGAAGAACAGATAAAGACAATACACAAAGCAGTGATGTTGCATGTTCTTTCAAAGTGTAGAGGGTCATGGTGGTACAGTCAATCACCTCTTGGATGGAAGTACTTGGACAGAACAGTAAAGGGAACCTCCTGAGATACAGTGTTCTATGGATGAGGAAATGCAAGCGAACATCACATTAGACAAATTACGGACTGAAAAAAATTATTAAAATAGGATTCACATTTTAAGATTTAAGAAATAAATATTAAATAATCGCATTAAGATACTTATTGTGGCACCCATCATTACATACATATATATGCTTTTTTTAATTGGATAAATATTGTTCAGTCAGAATTCAAGTACTCTTTGGGGTTCTTGAGTTTGGCACAATGATTTAAAAAAAAGATTATCAACTAACAATTAGAACTATATAGATATACCAAATAGTTCCAAGTAAATATGTTATGTAGTTATATATACTACATGTTTTTTAAAAAACAATAATATTGGTATTTTTGTTTCCTCTGGGGAAATGTTTGCCGCAGAAGTCACTCTGAACTTAGGGAGGAGACTCAGGCTCAGTTTAAGCTCCCTAAGCTTTAGTTGTCCACCTTGGCAAGTCACTCTCAGATGTGAGCTGTTTATACAAAAGTTAACCATTTTATTGATTATTTAATTTATTTTTTTGTGGACTTATAAGGTTTTATTTTCTTTTTATTGTTATTATTATTATTATACTTTAAGTTTTAGGGTACATGTGCACAAGGTGCAGGTTTGTTACATATGTATACATGTGCCATGTTGGTGTGCTGCACCCATTAACTCGTCTTTTAGCATTAGGTATATCTCCTAATGCTATCCCTCCCCCTCCCCCCACCCCTCAACAGTCCCTGGTGTGTGATGTTCCCCTTCCTGTGTCCATGTGTTCTCTTTGTTCAATTCCCACCTATGAGTGAGAACATGCGGTGTTTGGTTTTTTGTCCTTGCGATAGTTTGCTGAGAATGATGGTTTCCAACTTCATCCATGTCCCTACAAAGGACATGAACTCATGATTTTTTATGGCTGCATAGTATTCCATGGTGTATATGTGCCACATTTGCTTACTTTATGAGCAAGGATCTGTGACAACTCACATAGTTTTTAAAAAAGTAGGCATTTGTATTTAGATTTGAGTAACTCTGGTGTTAATGCATTTAGGGTTTAATAATTATGTATTTTAGTAAAAAAGTAAAGGATAGTAACTCCAACATTTGCATATGCCTGGTGAAACTCTGAACATTTTATAATTTTTATTCTCAGTGTTGGAATGACGGAATTATACAGACATTGATATAAACAATTTTAAGAGTTCTTATGCTCCGTCTCTCTGACCTTCTCCCTGCTTTATTATGGCTAGAACACTCAGAAAGCTGGGCAGTGGGTTCCAAGGAGCTTGGGTTAAAATTTTATCTTTGCTGCTTAGTAGTCCTACAACCTTGGGAGCGTAATTTCATCTTCCTGGTATTTGCTTTTATTTGAGTCTCACAGGGCTGCTGAAGGGATCTAAGGCCGTCACATATGTAAGGATGCTTAGTAGTAATGCAAATCTCGGCAGAGTCTCTGCTACTCGTAATAATCAGGATGTATAAAAATGTGCCACCTTAAAATGACCACCTGGCATTTAAAGTCATCTGGATACATCAATTATACTTTGGTTGCAACCACCTGCACTGTGCAAGCAAATTAAATTATTATTTTGTTGTTGTTATTGTTGTTAAAACTCACTATTAGCATTTTAGTACAAAGAGGAAGCTCTGTGACAAGGAAAGAGCCCTGGAATCTGAGATCAGACCTAGGTCTGCCCAATGACTTATTACAAAAGTAAGCACTTCAGTTACGCCTCTGGAAAGCAAAAGGAGACAATTATATTTCAGAAGTTGGATTTTTTCCCCAATTCATCTCTATAGGTCTAGTAATATAGTTGCTAACTGAATAAAATATGACATTTAATACTTTTAAAAGGTAAATTTTTAAAATGAAAATATATTAACTGTAAGAAAATATATAAATAAAGAACCAATTCTAAGGAGTATTAACAATTCATACATAAAACTACTCCTCTACCTGAGTTTCTTGTTAATGTAATATTTCTTAACTTTATCTTTCTTTATCCACAGAGAAATAACAATATCAGCTCTAAGATCCTGTGCAAACTTGTCCAACTCCTTGCCCCAAGTCAAAAACCCATTGTGATGGTTTTTATAACATTTTTTTCAAAGATTTCAAATGATGATTGATCCTTCTATATGTTTTTTAATAGCTTTGGCAACCTGGTATCATAAATTAAATGAACAGTTCCGACAATTTCACAAATAGGACTGCCTTTGAGTTGGTTTAGGATTTATTATACACGCAATCCAGGTTTAATACCCTAGATCAATAACATAATCATTGGCAAACTTTTTACTTTCTCCACCCAGCTTCAGGTATTTTCTTGCCTGGATCCCAAACGTGTCTGACCCACAGTCCAACATTTGGAGTGCCAGCTAAACTCTTTATTTATTACGCTATCAATTTAATTGTAAAATTTCACATTGGATTTTTATTTTAAGTATATACCTTTTGCTGAATGAATAATGTATTCCTTTCGCATCTATTGATAGATTTCTAATTCAAGAAGTTCACATATCTGTTCAATGTATCATACAGTTAAGCAACACAGCTTGGAATTTACCAATGAATACAATTGTAACGTGGATCTTCAAAGCTTTCACTTTGCTCTCTTACATTCTCTTGACCATACCCTATCAAACAACATCACTCACACAAATGGAGAAAGTATTGGATTTAGAGTTCTGATTTTTAGAATCCAGTACCAGCTGTATGAGACGTTACCTGGGAAAAACTGGAGCTTTTGTGTAATTCTCAGTAAATTCATAATGTTTGAATGAGATAATTTCTAAAGCACCTTCCATTCCATTGTTTTTATTCTGTAATCCCTGTTGCCATGCTTATTTTAGTCTCGTGTAATACCTCAATTCATATTCCTTGCCTAGAAAATATATCTACTTGCGGACCAGGCACAGTGGCTCACGCCTGTAATCCCAGCACTTTGGGAGGCTGAGGCAGGCAGATCATGAGGTCAGGAGTTCGAGACCAGTCTGGCCAACATGGTGAAACCCCATCTCTACTAAAAATACAAAAATCAGCTGCCCGTGGTGGCACATGCCTGTAATCTCAGCTACTCAGGAGGCTGAGGTAGGAGAATAACTTGAACCTGGGGGGTGGAGGATGCAGTGAGCCAAGTACCATTGCATTCCCGCCTGGGTGACAAAAAAATAAAAATAAAAAAATAAAAATGATGATATGTCTACTGGTACACTATAATTATTACTCATCATACCAAAATGTTCCACATCTGCATTTGCCAACCTACAGCCTGCTGTTCTTTCAACTACAACCATTCCTGGTTTTCATCACAAGGATCATTTAAATAATCACATCTACAGCTATGTTATTATTTGCTTTCTTTCATATTATCCAATTCTTCTCCCGAAAAATGGTTCTTCAATGTGAGATTACCTTAAAACTTCTATTACAGTTTCCTCCTGCTACCAATAAGGTGGGCACTCAATAAATGTTGAGTGAAGGTTATGACTAAATTGTATTTAAACATCAATATTTTAAAAAGTATACCTAGTAAAATCATATCTTGTTTCTTACTTTTTGAATATTCTGGTGCTTTGACATTTTGTTTGATGATTTCACTGGAAGTATGGAAAATGATATTTTTCTAAGGACAACACAAAATTCTGATGATTAATTAGATAATTTGAGCAATAACATTTTTGAAACTGAAATTCAGAACTTATAACAAGAATGCTTTCCACCAGAGAAACTTCAATGCCAGTCATGAAAACAGAAAGCAAAAAAATTAAAAGAGATATTTTTAAAAGAAGCTGAGAGAAGTCACATTTCCAACTAGAAAACCATTGGGCCACCCAAGAATTAAGAGAATTAAGAGTTAGAAAAAAAAAAAACATAAACAAAAACAAAACCCACAGAAATATAGCCAGGAAATCTGGATTTGAATACTTGAGCCACATTATGAATAATAAAAGAGAGAATAACCTCTCCAAAAAACTAAAGGCTCTGAAAGAGAAACAGTGACTTGTTCATTCTCATGTTGCAAGGACTGGACCCAGTGCTTGTAACATAGTTGGCTCTCAGTAAATAAAGTGAAGTCAGAGAAGAATAATTCCAAAGCCTCGCATTTCTTGCATAATTTGCACTAGTGTTTGATTATTTTTTCAGTTAAATACTTACACATAGACAAATGTCCATGATTTTTTTCGCTTCTATCTTTTGAATAAACCACTTTTTACTATAATCAGATTTGTTCATATGCTGAGCTTATATGTATGCATTACCAGAAATGTTCTACTACAAAACTTAATACAAACATGGAGGCAAGTATATCTACATGTTTAATTGGACATATACAATTGCAGATACTAAACATTTTTGAGTGACAGAAGCAGTACTTTCATGTGACTTGCCCTATTCATAATACATAATTAGACAATTCTGTAGCATTTACATATAATGTAAGAGTGTAAAATTCAGTTTGTTTTTTATAACTACTACATGGAGAAAAAGCCCTTATAAATATGAACATTTTAATTGGGATTAAGTTCAATGTAGAAGGGAAAAAGCCAGGGCTTTGGAATCAGGACCCGGGTTTGAATAAAAGAGCTATGAGATAGTCATGTGGCATCATTAAAACAAATTAATTCTCTGAAATTTGGTTTCCCCATCCCTAAATTGGGGAAGTAATATTTTCTCATAAAGTGTGATCTAGATGAATTGGAACTATTTATGCAGAATATACATCTGTGTCTATTACAAATTTAAACAAAAAAGTAATGAAGCTTTTCTAAGAAAAATTATTAGTGTATCAAACTTGAGTTAGTTTCTCTACATCAGCTAAATTCTAAAATTATCAAAATCAAGACAAAGTAGCAGTAAAGTACTAGGAAGCTCTCTAAAAAAAGAAGTAAGTCATAATTCACACATGTGCACACACACACACACAGCCTTATATTATGAATGCCAAATAATTGTGATAGGATAAAAGAGAAGATGAGGTTTGATGGGATAAAATTTCTTCTGAAATAATGAGTTCCCTATCACTGCAAATAAGAAGTAAATATTTTTTTTTATCTGCCAAAGATTTTTAAGAGACATTCTATTTTGGGTTAGATGTTGGAATAGATTATGTTTACTATCTCTTCTAAAATCTGAGGTTCCATGATTGTACAAAACCTTAAAAGCTAAGTTTAAACAGTGAGTCAAGTATTTTCAGTTTTCCAAAACTTACTTCAAAGAAAATGAGTGGACTTCTATAAAAGGCTCAAATGATTTCTTAGAAATCAAATAGCTCTTGCACAAAAACTGTTTGATGACTTAAGTATGAATGAATCCAAAACATATGGATTAAATTTCTTATGAAATATGATAGGAAAGTAATGCTTAGCAAATTTTCTTTTTTTGGGAGTTGGGGGCTTCTTGTACTAAAATCTTTGGAAAATTGTTCAAGATGTTTTAATGACCCCAAAATGCATTTGGATTTACTCTGGTCTGCTATAAGCAATTTGAAGCCTTTAATTTCCTTTTTCTATTGTGTCTGGACAAAGTTCAATTCAATTTTCTACCAGCTGTTGACTCTCTCTGTTTAGTACACTGACTTTTTACTGTTGCTATTTTAAGTATGTTTGCTTGCTTTACACATTTGGAAAAAATGACTAAAAAGTTTGAACTATTAAATATTTCAAAATATTTGTTGCCACCATTTAAATCTGACCTGCGAAACGTCTCTGTTTGCCAAAACGTTTGACTTATGAGTATAATTTATATAAGATCAAATTGTAATGAAGAGTTGACAAAGTAGAAGAGCCTACAAACAAATTTCCAGGGGAAGTGCAGTGTTTGATCTAAATAACATTGGCTTGAGTATTTAATAGAGAGAATGGGAATTTAGAAATAAAAGTGCCATTGGGAAATACCATCATGTTAAAGTAGAAACTATGTGTCAGCTACAAATTATGTTGAATAGTATAATGAGATATAGAAATTGAAGATTTTATTAATTGTCAAACCTTTAATTTAAATGTCAATATGATGCACTTGATTTACTTAATTATAGAAAACTTTATTCTAGAAATTTACATCTCTTCCTATAAACTTAAACTGGCATAAAATATTGTTTTAATACCAGGACTTTGGGAAGCTGAGCAGGGAGGATTGCTTGAGCCCAGGAAATTGATACCAGTGTGGGCAACACAGTGAGACATTGTCTTTACTAAAAAAAAAAATAATAATAATAATAATAAAAATAACCAGGCAAGGTGGCACCTTAACTACTCAGAAGGCTGAGGTGGGAGGATCAATCACTTGGGCACAGGAGGTCCAGGCTGCAGTGAGCTATGATCATGCCTCTGCACTCCAGCCTGGGCAACACAGCAAGCAAGACCCTGACTCTATATAGTTTTGGACTATGTTTCCAAAATGATAGCCACCTGCTTTACAGAATCTCACCAATAATAATTTCCCATAGACCATAGCTCATAATATGCATTATGTGGAACATTTAAATATATTTTGGTTGATTCAACTTGATACCAATTTAAATATTGTTACATACAGGTTTCTCAAGATGCAGAAGCAATGTAGATTATGCTGCTAGTGGAAACAAAGCTCATATGCTCATTTGGTTTGAGTAGATTCCGAAAACTAATGGCATCATCTAGATTGGTACAATGTCTTAGTTGGCTTGGGCTACCATAACAAAATACCATTTACTAGATGGTATAAGCAACATAAATATGTTTTTCACCGTTGTGGAAGATGGAAGTCTGAGATCAGCATGCCAGCATGATTACATTTTGGTGGGGGCTTTCTTCCTGGCTTGCAGATGGCCACCTCCTCACAATTCCTCACATAGCAGAAAGAGAGAAGGAGAGTAAACTCCCTGGTGTCTCTTCTTATGAGGGCACTAATTTTTTTTATGAGGATTTCACTCTCATAACCTCATTTAATCCTAATTTTCTCCAAAATACTCCATCTCTGAATACCATAACATTGGGGGTTATGTCTATCATATACATTTTTGGAGGAAACAGAATTCAGTCCTTAACACTTTTCCCTCACCCCCTTAAATACAGTCCTTAACACTTTTCCCTCACCCCCTTAAATTCTTGGACTTCTAACATATAAAATACAGTCATTTCATCCCAATAGCCCTAAAATTCTTAGCTCATCCCAACCCTAAAGTCCAAAGTCTCAACTAAGTGTTATCTAAATTAGATATGGCTTATACTTGAGGTATGATGCATCCTGAGGCAAAATTCCTCGCTAGCTGTCAATCTGTAAAACCAGATGAGTTATGTGCTTTCAAATATAATGATGGGACAGGCATAAGCTGTCTCATTCTAGCTTTCAGGATCCCATTTCTTTCCACTTCATGCCCTCACTTTAATTGTAGACACCATTCAAGGCTGGAAGTTCAACTTGAATTGTAATTAAACTAGTCACAGAATGAGATTCTGCATTTGACTTTCAGCAATCTCAGCCCTTAATGGAGATAAACGTTTCCTTGAAGGTACACATAGAAGCTTTCAAGTTATGTATGTGATGTTTGAGCTGAGAATTCAAATCCCTGAGATCATCCTTTTCTTTTCCCACTTTATTCAGACCATAAGCTCAGCCAGCCCATCTCATTAAATTTGTTAGTTTGCAGAAAATGTTCAAAAATATCACATTATACAGTTACCCAGATCTTTGTTTCCTTCAAATGGTTGATTAAGAATTTCTAACAGTGACATCTTATGTATCTGTATTGCCTGCCATAGACTATCAGCGCTCTCTTTACCACTGGAAATTGAGTTACTGGTATATTTAAATCTAAGCAAATTAAGGAGCCAATTTTAGAAACCCCAGAATCAATTCAGAAAATACTCTTAAAATTATGTCCTCTAAAACAGCTCTGGGTACCAAAATATGTATCAGTCAGGAGTCTCCAGAAAAATAGCACCAATAGGAGATAGATAGATCGATCGATAGATAGATAGATAATAGATAGAGAGATATAAAAATACATATTATAAGAACTTAGCTTACATGTTTATGGAGGGTGAGCGATCCCAAGATCTGCGGTTAGCAAGCTGTAGAATCAGGAGAGCCAATGAGGTATAAGTCCCAGTTCAAAAGTTGGCAGGCTCAAGTTCTAAGAAGAGCAAATGTTTCAGTTTAAGTCTGAAGGGCAGAAAAAATTCCAGCTCAAGCAGCCAGGCAGGAGGAGTTTCCCCTTAATGCAGAAAGGGTTAACATTTCTGTTTTATCTAGGTCTTCAATTGATTGGATGAGGTCCATCCACATTAGAGAGCATAATCTTTTTTACTCAGTCTGCTGATGAAAATGTTAACCTCATCCAAAAAAAACTCACTGACACACACAGAATAATGTTTGACTAAGTATCTGAGCACTCCATGGCCCAATCAAGTTGATGGATAAAATTAACATCACATACTTATTGATCTGCTTATTGAATAGTAGTTGTTTTTAAAAATGAATTCAGTTATATAGCTAAATACATTAATCAGAATACAAATTATTTTAATATGTACTAATACTGACCCACATTTAAAGAAACGTTAGACTAAATATCTGGGCACTTCATGGCCCAATGAAGTTGACACATAAAATTAACCATCATATACTTATTGAGTTGCTTATTGAATAGTAGATTTTTTTAATTATTCAGTTATATAGTTAAATATATTAACCAGAATACAAATTATTTTAGTATGTACTAACGCCAGTCTACATAAAAAAATTAATTGGTTTGAGGTCATTCAAAAGATTCAGTTAGACTATACATTCCTCAGTATTTCTTAACTCCTAAAATAGTCTTTTATAGGCAAATAGGAGGTTAATAAAGAGCCTATCAATAAAGAAAAGGATTTCTCCTCCTTGCAGTCAATTAACAAAGTAGTTAATATGTATCTCAATGTCAGAAAGTGAAGGGTTAGAATTGTAGTACAAACACTAGACTGTGAAGGCAGGATGTGAGTATTTATTTAGATCTCCTGGGATTCTATCCACTATCCACCTAGTCACTTATTCACTCATTACCTATTTATGTGCAGAATTATAAGCCAGGCACTGTGATAGGTGTCACAAGCATTGAAACAATGAAAATAAGCTCTTACTCTCTCCAGCTTACCATTTAGTAGGAGAGGGTAGACATGTTAACTATAATGATGAAACGCTATGATATTTATATAGAGAAAGTACAATAGGTGCAAAAAGGAGGATGTGTCTAATTCTAGTGGAATAGGAAAAGGTGGTTAGGACAGGTCTCAGAGTAACAAATCTTTAAAGATAAGTAGCTATCTACCAAGGGGATGTAAATAAAAGGGGCATTTCCACCGAGAAAGCAGCTTGGGCAAAGCCACAGATTCGAGACACAGCATATTTTGGGAAATTACATATACTTCAGTACTTCAGCATAGCTAGAACATAAGCTTATACAAGCATAAATTGTAGCAGAATTATGCTAAAAGAGTACTGAGTCAGTTTTTTTGTTTGTTTGTTTGTTTGTTTGATGTCTTGGGTATTCTCTGTCTTCTTTCTTCCCTGGAGTATTACTCAGAAATCTTTGCCCACTCCAAGGTCCTGAAGAGATTCCCCAAGGTCTTAGATTTAAATCTTTAATCCATTTTAATCCATTTTGATTTTTTTGTATGGTCAGAGATGGGGTCTATGTCATTCTTCTGCATATGGATATCCAGTTTTCCCAGCACCATTTATTGAAGAGACTGTCCTTTTCCCAATGTATGTTCTTGTCACTTACATCAAAAATGAGTTCACTGTAGATGTATGGATTTATTTCAGAGTTCTTTATTCTATTTCACTGGCCTATGTGTCTGTTTTTATGTCAGTACCATGTCATTTTGGTTACTATAGCTCTCTAGTATAATTTGAAGTCAGGTAATATGATTCCTCCTGTTGTGTTTCTTTTACTTCGGATAGCTTTGGCTATCCTTATGTGTTCTCTGTTTTCTTCCAGCTCTGGTCTCTCTCTCAGTGAAGAACATTCCCAGATCCTTTGATATGTCACTTCCCATATATTTAGCTAATAAGAGGTACCTATGGAAGACTAGAAAGCAGAGAGAGGGGAGAAGCCCAGGAATCTTGCCCTTTCTTTCTCTGCTTTCAATATGCAATGTCCCTGACAGTAACAGTGTCTCTCTGTGTCTCCAGCTACCACCAGACTACTACTCCTCGCTTCATGGTCCCAGTTGATGCTGGACAGCCTCCACTCTGGTTCTCGATGTAAAGCTCTGACTTCTGGGCTCTGTCAAGACCACAACCTTCATTGTCCCTCCAGGCCTAAAGGCAATACCTTTTTCCTGCTGTTGTTGGTCCTTGGATTGACTCACTATTCCCCATTTGGCTCTTCAGTTATCATCTTTACAAATTCCAACACTGAATTTCTTCTGCTATTGAGACATACGTAGTGTGTGGTTTTTTTGAATGAGTCTTTCCTGATTTAGGTACTGACAGCCACATCAAAAGTCAAATGGTTCTTCTTTCACAATATGATAGACAAGTAATTTTCTTTAGTAGTTGTTAAAGACTAAATTAAGATACTGACTCCTGAATGACCAGTGGGTTAATGAATAGATTAAGAAGGGAAATAAATTTCTTGAAACAAATGATAATGAAAACACCACACACCAAAACCTATGGGATACAGTAAAAGCCACACTGAGAGAGCAGTGTATAAGTGCCTACATCAAACAAGAAGAGAATTTTGAAATAAATAACCTTGTGATGCAGCTTAAAGAATTAGAAAAACAAGAGCAAACTCAAACCCAAAATTAGGAGAAGAAAGTAATAAAGATCAGAGCAGAAATAAATGAAATTGAAATGAAGAAAATAACACACAAGATCAGTGAAACAAAAAGTTGGTTTTTTTTGAAAGATAAGGAAAACTGACAACACTTTAGCCAGACTAACTAAGAAAAACAAGAGAGAAGATCCACATAAATAATATTAGAGGCTGGGCACAGTGGCTCACGCCTGTAATCTCAGCACTTTGGGAGGCCGAGGTGGGTGAATCATGAGGTCAAGAGATCGAGACCATCCTGGCCAACATGGTGAAACCCCGTCTCTACTAAAAATACAAAAATTAGCTGGGCATGGTGGCACGCGTCTGTAGTCCCAGCTACTTGGGAGGCTGAAGCAGGAGACTCACTTCAACCTAGGAGGCAGAGGTTGCAGTGAGCTGAGATCGCACCATCGCAGTCCAGCCTGGTGACAAAGTGAGACTCTATCTCAAAAATAATAATGATATAATAATAATAGAGATGAAAAGGGGAGACATTACAACCAATACCACAGAAATTCAAAGGGTCATTAGTGGCTACAATAGCAACTGTATGCCAATAAATGTAAAAATCTAGAAGAAATAGATTCCTAGAAACATACAACCTATCAAGATTGAACCATAAAGAAATCCAAAACTTGAATAGACCACTAACAAGTAATGAAAACAAAGCCGTAATAAAAAGCCTCCCAGAAAAACAAACAAACAACAACAACAAAAAAAACTGGGACCCAATGCCTTCACTGCTGAATTCTACCAAAGATTTCAAGAAGAACTAATACCAATCCTACTTAAACTATTTTACAAAATAGAGGTGGAGGGTATACTTCCAAATACTTCATTCTATGAGGCCACTATTACCCTGATACCAAAACCAGAGAAAGACACAGCAACGGAAATAAAACTACAGGCCAATATCACTGATGAATATTGATGTAAAAATCCTCAACAAGATACTTGCAAACCAAATTCAACAACACATTAAAAAGATTATTTGTCATGACCAAGTGGGATTTATCCCAGGGATACAAGGATGGCTAACATATGCAAATCAATCAATGTGAAACATCATATTAGCAGAATGAAGGACAAAACCCTATGATCATTTGAATTGATGCTAAAACAAACATTTGATAAAATTCAACATCCCTTCACGATAAAAATTCTCAAAAAACTGGGTACAGAAGGAACATAACTCAGCATCATAAAAGCCACATATGACAGGCCCACAGCTAGTATCATACTAAATGGGAGAAAACAGAAACCTTTTCCTCTAATATTGAGAACACAACAAGGATGCCCACTTTCACCACTGTTATTCAACATGGTACTGGAAGTCCCAGCTAGAGAAATCATACAAGAGAAAGAAATAAAGGGCACCCAAATTGGAAAGGAATAAGTCAAATTATCCTTGTTTGCAGATGATATGATCTTATATTTGGAAAAATCTAAAGACACCACCAAAAAAATCTATTAGAATTGACAAACAAATTCAGTAAAGCTACAGGATCCAAAATTAGAAAAAAAAAATCTAGTATATAGTAGAATTTCTATATACTAGTAGCAAACAATACGAAAAAGAAATCAAGAAAACTAATTCCATTTATAATAGTTAGAAATAACATAAAATACCTAGGAATTAACCAAAGAAGTGAACTATCTCTACAATAAATGCTATATAAAATTAATGCAAAAAATTGAAGAGAACCCTCAAAAAATGGAAAGTTATTTCATGTTCATAGCTTGGAAAAATGAATATTTTTAAAATGCCCATACTATTAAAGCAATCTACAGATTCAATGCAATCTCTATCAGAATACCAAAAACATTCTTCACAGAAATAGAAAAAAATATATTTGGAACTACGGAAGTCATAGAATAGCTAAAACTATCTTAAATAAAATACATCTACATCTACATACATATGTCTACAGTGAACTCAGTTTTGACAAAAGTACCAAGAACATTCCTTGGGGAAAGGACAGTCTCTTCAATCGATGGTGATGGGAAAACTGGATATCCATGCACAAAGGAATGAAACTAGATTCCTATTTTTCACAAAACACAAAAGTCAAATCAAAATGGATTAAAGACTTAAATCCAAGGCCTCGAACTATGAAACTACTGAAAGAAAACCTTCGGGAAGCTCTTCAGGACATTGGAGTGGGCAAAGATTTCTTGAGTAATACTCCACAAGCACAGGCAACCAAAGCAAATATGGACAGATGGGATTACATCAAGTTAAAATACTTCTGCCTAGCAAAGGAAACCATCAACAAAGTGAAGAAACAACCCACAGAATGGGAGAAAATGTTTGCAAACAACCTATCTGACAAGGGAGTAATAAACAGAATCCATAAAGAGCTCAATCAAGTCTATAGAAAAAAAACCCTAATAATTCAACTTAAAAATAGGCAACAGATCTGATCAGATATTTCTCAAAAAGAGACATACAAATGTCAAACAGGTATAAGAAAGGGTGCTCAGCATTATTGATCATCAGAGAAATGCAAATCAAAACTACAATGAGATATCATCTCATGCCAGTTAAAATTGCTTTTATCCAAAAGACAGGCAATAACAAATGCTAGTGAAGATGTGAAGAAAAGGGAAGGCCTGTCTACTGTTGATGGGAGAGCGTAAATTAGCACACTCACTAGGGAGAATAGTTTGGAGGTTCCTCAAAAAATACAATAGCCAAGATTTGGAAGCAACCTAAGTATTCACCAACAGATAAATAGATAAAAAATGTGATAATTTGAACCCAATGGAGCACTATTCAGCCATAAGATTGAGGTCCTGTCATTTGCAACATGGATGAAACTGGAGGTCATTATGTTAAGTGAAATAAGCCAGGCACAGAAAGACAAACTTCACATGTTCTCACTTCTTTGTGAAGCTAAAAATTAAAACAATTGAACTCATGGAGAGAGTATAGAAGGATAGTGGGGGGTGGAGGCATGTGATGGGCAGGTGGGGATCATTAATGGGTACAAAAAATAGAATGAATAAGACCTAGCATTTGCTAACACAACAGAGTGATTATAGTCAATAATAATTTAATTGTACATTTAAAAATAACTGAAATAGTATAGTTGGATTACTTGTAACACAAAGGGCAAATGTTTGAAGTAATGGATACCCCGATTACCCTGACATGATAATTACACATTGCATGCCTGTGTCAAAATATGCCATGAACCTATAAATGTATATATACACATACTATATATGCACATAATTAAAAGTTAAAAACTTGACTAACTTCAATCATTTATATCTACAATGTGAAAAAAATAAAAATAAAAGAACAAGGCCCAATATTCTGAGCTTTTTGTCAGTCTTGTCCATGAAGATTTTGTTCCATGAAACATAAAAGCCTGCATCTTTTTCCAAGTTTATTTTATACTGCCATAAGGAAAGTGAGTGGAATGAGTTGTAGGCTTGACTCAACAGTAGCTCATGATTAAAAGTAGTTTGCCAATAACTCAGGCACATAGTTCAGTTCATTCTGTGCTAGCTCACAGCATGCCTAGGGGTTGAAACGGTACCCGGTGTCAATACTTCAACACCTATTTCAGCCTATTCAGCCAATGCTGTTCCAAGTTGGCACCTCTTCTAATACATCATTGTTACTCCATATCAGAGCAAAATGCCAAGATTTGATAGATGTGATTTAGATGGCGTGAAGGGCACCAATCAAGTAAACATATTGAAAAATTTTTTAAAATCAATAACACTGACATCCAGCTGTCCCTGAATTCTTATCAGTTGCTGCCTGATACCTCATAGATTTTTCAGTTTTTAGTTGAAGGTTTGATTTGCTGACAATAGGCTCGGTAATGCCTCTTATCTCTTTAGGAGGGAATTTTAAATTAAGTTCATTTAATTGAAATATAATCCAACATTTCTCATGTGGTGTAGAACCATAACAGTTATCATTGATTTTGGTAAATATTTATTTAGCATCTAATATCGTGAAGGTACTGAGATGGTAGAGTCTCTGAAGGGGGACTCTTGAGTTTTTAATACATTGCAATGTAAAACAAATACAGGGCACATGCACTTAAAGAATAAACTTTATTACTTATAAAAGCTAAGAGTGGAAACATGGTTACATGTGATAGTCAAATGGATCCCATAAGCAACTTTCAGAATCTGTGCCTACTGACCCCATTATAGCAAGAGTGACTAGTGCTGGCCTCCTCTTTCAGTGAAGTAGGAACCTCCTTGAGAAGAAAAAATTAAAATGCTTATTCTCTGTGACAACCTGAACCCAGGTCATATGTAGATGCCATATATCGGTGTTCTGGCCAACAGCCCAGCTGAGGTTCCAGATATGAGTGAAGAATCTTTTAAGCTAGCTCTAGCTCCAGCCATTGTCAGAGTGCAAATGCATGAGAGAATCAGAAACACCTAGTTGAGCCTAATCAACTACTCAAACTATAAAACATTGGAATAGAATAATGGTTGGTATTTTGACCCCTAAGTTTGGGGATATTGTATTATATAAGCAATAGATAAGTGGATCATCATAGTGGCTATTTTTGTTTTGAATTTTTTTAATTTTCTTTTTTTGGACACAATCATGTGTGATATCTTATTATTGCCTTGTACAAAAGTGTTCAGTTGTCTTAGATTTCCTATCAAATCCTTCTACTTGTTATTATATACTAGTTAAAAGTTGCTTTTAGTGCTAATTTTCTTCATCTTGCTATTT
The DNA here is from genome assembly GCF_000001405.40 of Homo sapiens. Lineage (NCBI taxonomy): Eukaryota > Metazoa > Chordata > Mammalia > Primates > Hominidae > Homo > Homo sapiens. Next base: position 9,283,114 of record NC_000006.12, read on the forward strand.
CTCATTTTTCTTTTCCTTGACACCATTAATAGTCATTTTCAACTTGGTACCAAGATGAAGCCACTAGCTAAGTTGGTTCCCTCTTGATAACAATATCAAGATATAATTGGGTAGTTTGCTCTGTATTGATTATATGTGAATGTATCAGAAAGTAAATAAGTATTTGTAAGTGATGTTGACTGATTATAATAATCCCATAGATTTGTGGCATTAAGTGGAGTCACGGTGTTAAAATACCACTTCTTCACAAAAGTTAACCTAGAGCCCGGTAGGTGAATTTGGGAAGGTTTCCACAATATGTAAAAATGTGATGAAAAATGGACTTAAAATCGTTTCCTAAGTGGAAATCATGGAAAAGAGGGATGTTGTCCATTTTCAACTTTCTCTCTTTAAGTCTATTTGTGAATCGATTCATCATCATTGGCATCTAACAAGATCGAAGTCAATTAAATCTTCAAAGAAGAATGATAAGCCTTCTTTCCCAAAAGTTACAAGTCAGCATCAAATGTCAAAAGTGACTATGAAATGTAATGAAGTGAAAGGAAATAGTATGATCTGTCAGTTTACAATAATTTGTAGGTGACAGCTTGGCTCTGTTTATTGTCCAAATGGGAAGACAATACTCTCTTCCTTTTTCTTTCTTGTAGGCTTTCTGTCTGTGGGTGTTACATATTTTTCCCTTCTTCAACTAACCGTGTCTGAGCAGGACAGCTGACCTTCAAAAGTAAATATGATTAAAGCTGAACAAATCAGGTAATTACAATAAAAACATGGTTTGACAAGCAACCTCTGGACAGAATTATAGTTCCATATACACACTACACATTCAATTAAAGTGATTAGAAATGAAGAAACTAATGTCTTCACCTAAGACTTTTAAGGTGCCAATGATCTCCCTTCCACAACGGATTAGAGAAGAAATCAGAAGGAATGGAAATATGCAATGTGTTTATGCAGGCTTGCTTCCCTTACAGGTGAAGGGCATTCTTAGAGCCTCAGTGTGCATTGTAATTTTAAATAATTTTTATTGTTTCATATTCTAATTTCTTATTCAAATACAAATATGATATGTTAATGATCTATAATTACATAAGATTTTCTACTATGCATCTATGAGTTTATCTTATATAGGTATTGTACCATGTTTCTATAAATATAACCATACATTCTACCATTTTGGCTAATGCCAAATAGATTGTTGACAGAATCAAGTTTGTGTACGGACATCAGAGAAAATCTAACTGTCCTTTTTTAAATTACACAGTAATAATGTCCTAATAAATGAGCCAACTGAAACTGACTTTATAATTTTATTTTGCCATACTTAACATTTTAGTTTTGTTACTTTTATTTTTTTTCTTTTCTTCATGAACGAGCATAATGGAAAAAATATATTTAACTGAAATTTCATTTTGACAATTTAAGGTTGTATCAACACAGGAAAATAGAATCAAACCATGTAATTTAATTCCCTTAATTCAACATCAGCAATTGTTATTGCATTTGAAAAGGAAATTTTGTATTTTGTCTGGATACTGTTATTATAACTTCACATTGTGCAAAGTCATTGTATATTCCTAAATATTCATGCTATACTGGTGCAGTCATAGGGGCATTCCTTTCAAAAACAGGTTGAGCAGATTGAGGTCATGGTAATGATAATATGGACTTTAATTAGATGGTCCTAAGTACAAATCAGGGGATTATTCTGGTTTATAAGTGAACCATCCCAAGATTCCCATTTTTTTCCCCAAAGACTGGGTCTTCTTGCTCTGCTGTCCAGGCTGGAGTGCAGTGGCCTGATTATAGCTCACTGCAGCCTCCAACTCCTGGGCCCAAGTGATCCTCCCATCTCAGCCTCCCAAGGAGCTAGGACTATAGGTATGCACCACCATGCCTGGCTAATGTTTTTATGTTTTGAAGAGTTGGAGTCTTGCTATGTTGTCCAGGCTTGTCTCAAATTCTTGGCCTCAAGTGATCCTCCCACCTGGGCCTTCCAAAGTGCTAGGATTACAGGTATGAGTTCCTATGCTTGACCAAGATTCATTTTTTGGAAAAAAATGAATTTAAGGATCATTAGTATACCACCAAATTTGCTGGAGAATTTGGGAACTACTGATAAAGAATAAAATTTTTATATTTCAAATTTTTCTGAATTGACATCGATGTAAAAAATCTGTATATCAGTCATCTTGGAACTAACAGCAGCCTTTTTTCTTACTGTGAATTTCTTTAGTACGTTCCTGACTATTGTGTTCTTACAGAACCAAGAGCATATTTGCTAATGTTTTAAATTTATTTTCTAATTACTTCATAAGACATATCTTGCCAATTTGTTAGTTGCTTCTAAGTAAAGTCCCTTCTTTTCTTTTATAGTCTACACAGTTCCAATAGGAGATAGACAACCAGGATTCTGGGCCATGATCTGATTTTTTGTTTGATTACCCTGAGAAAATTAAGATATTTCTCTGTGATGAGAGGCCTCATTGCTAACATACAGATAGTATCTCCTACCTGACCTATCACACAGTTTTGTTTCATTAATTGAATGAGAACGACACATCTGAAACTACTTTATAAACTGTAAATTTCTATAAAATTGAATAGTGTCATTAATGTGCTGCTGGGCACATTTGATACATGCCTAAAGTATGAATAATTACTTAGCAAGTAGAATATATGTGTATATATATATATATGTGTATATATATATATATGTGTATTTATATATATATGTGTATATATATATGTGTGTATATATATATATATATATATATATACATACACACACACACTTAATTTGAATTTTTATTACAAACAATCAGGAGCTGTTTTTCATTTTATAATCTTTGGCTAACTAGTTGGGTAATTGTAGGTAAACCCACTCTCTTTCCTCAGTTGCATCTATAAAATGGAGCTGATACTTCAGATATTACTGTAAATACTAAATAATGTGAATGCATGTATCAATTCTTATCAGTACATACTGTAGAATATTATTAATCAACATTGTACTTTTCAATATTTAATTATGAAAATTTCTAAAAGTACAGGGAACTCCCACATACACTGCACCTAGTTAATATTTCATGATACTGCCTTTATTACATATGCACCCTTTCATCAATCCATCAAAACTTCCTTTTAATAACAATATCGAATTTTCTATCTTCAAGGACCTTAAATAGTATATAATCCAGGCACTTCCTTTTATAGATGCTGAAACAGAAGGACGCAGACTGGCAGCGGCCCACAAACACATGCCTTTCATAGTGCAAACTTACTTTTATGGGATGTTGATGTTGTTTTTTAATGGATGCTCAAGCTTCGGATACATGAACGAAAATCATTTTAAATAAAAACAAAAAGAAAGGGGTTTTTCCATCTCTACACTACACATTGGATTTTCTACACAGAAGCTGTACGTGAAGGATCAAAGCTCATTCCTGCATTCCAGCAAGCAATTTCTACAAGTGCATCTACATTTCTGTGACAATCCGCTTCTCCTAACCCTTCCCATCATCCAGTGAAGTATTAGCATGTGAAAAATTGCATCTGTCAGAAATGTAAAAATAATCATGCCCACCTTGGTCTTTTCTATTTAATAATTTGGGCCATGGATTGGTAACCTTTGTTTTGCTTACTGTGCAGTCACAAATTACTTTTATAGATCAAGAGAACTTGAACTTTCAAAAGTGCTGTTTTAGCTTAAAATGTTATGATTTAGATATTCTGTTTATATATGAAGAAACTAGTGACGAATATAGTAAGCATTTTTTTTCATTCTTCACTTAAATTGTTGCCTTAACATAGGGTTTCTTCTTTTAAAATAGTAGCAAACTTATAGAAGACTGTTTAACTGCATATGTGGGTACTATGCAGTCAATTAGCCATAGAAGAAATAATACAGGACTTCCAAAGTAATGCCAATGGTCTATAATCTCGTCACGTTACAATGTCTATCACTTAATGTATGTGGATTTTAGGGGACTCATTTGGGATCTTTAAATCATATTCAATTCTCTATTATGATACTTGGGAAGTTAAATAATCATGTTGTTTTCCATTAAACTAGAAAAAGCTAATGTATTTTCAAATAGCAATGGAAAGGTGACATGAGATAAGCCTTTTAGATTACTATTGTTTTTCCTAGGTTACTGGCCTAAAAAGAAATAGAAAGTTTATACAAATGTGGAAAGAATGCCTACCAGATAAACTATTGTTCATATCTACAGTTTATTATTTGATAATTTCCAATTTAACTTAGTCTTTTGACTTAGCTTTTTTTAGTCATTGCAGGCTTTAATATTTGATAACTGGTTCAGTGTCACAAAATAGTTTCTTCATATAAAAGCAATTTTATATGATAGATATATAAGTCATTCTTATATCCTCTTCACTGTTCCAATTAAAATGTCTACAGTATAAAAATTTACTGGATTACTTTTTCTTTTATTTTCTTAACTGCTAAATGGGATATAATCATTTGTCAGAACATTTTAAAAATTCTTCAAGATAGCTAAAATCATTTTCTTCATAACTCACCCCCAAATATTGCCACAAAGTAAGTAAATACTGTGCATTCTTGATTTCATTTTGCTGTTGGGGAAATCAAAACATTAGCATAAGTCAAGTGATTATGTCAAGAATTACTTACAAAATGCAGAAAAAAATTGTTTTAAAAAGCCAGTCTTCTAACTCTCAGAGTATTGTTCCATAATATTTCAACACACATACCAGAAAACAAACCAATTTCATATCTTTTGGAAGCACCATTCAAGAAAAGCAGCATGATCTTTAATGACAACAAATCTGTTTTTCTCCTAGGTCATAGCATCATGTTTGTCTTTATCAAAAAAAAAGAAAAAAGCAAGGGATAATGATTGTGGAATCACGAAATGTGAGATAACGAACAAATAACAGAAAGAAGGAACACATGAGGGAAAACGCAATCAGAGTGTATCACTCTTACTCAATGTGCTTCAGAAATGGATTCTGAAGCGATACATTGTTTTGATCTGTGATGGGTAACTTGACTGGGATAAGGGAAGCCCAGATAGCAGGTAAAACAGTATTTCTGGGCGTATCTCTGGGGGCTTTTCTAGAGAGATTAGCATTTGAATCAATAGACTGAATAAAGAAGATCACCCTCACCAATGTGGGTGGGTGTCATCCCATCCGCTAAGAACTAAAATAGAATAACAATGTGGAGGAAGGCTGAATTTGCTGTTTGCTTGAGCTGGTACATCCGCTGGTGCTCCTGGTTCTTGGGCCTTTTGATTTGGACTGAGACTTATACCATCAGCCTCTCCTAATTCTCAGGCCTTCATACTTGGATTGACATGTATACCATTGGCTCCCTGGTTCTCAGGCCTTTGGGTATGGACTGGAACTTCACCACCAGCTTGCCTGGGTCTCTAGCTTGCAGATAGTAGACTGCGGGACTTCTCAGCATCCATAACCACATAAGTCAATTGCTCATAATAATTTTCCTTTTATTGATTCTGTTTCTTCAGAGAACCTTGACTAATATGACATCTGCAACAGTTTTTCCCTCCACTCTTTCTTATTCTGTTTACATTCATAGTGATCATACTTGAAAGAGAAAGGTCAATACTAATCATACTTCACTCATACCCTCTGGTCCTGTGTATGAGAACCCTCCACTAAGGCCAGAGCAGGGTGTGAAAGGAAGTGAAGACAGATATACTCATGAAATGCTGTCAGACTGACTGCTGAATCCCATTTGTAGCACAACCCTCTCTGAAAGCTGGTAAATCTGTATTCCATATGATACTATACCCTTCTATACGATGAATGATGAAAAATGGTGTGCAAGGAGGCACAATTCCCAGGGCAATATCTTTGATTAGCACTCCGATTGTAAGATCCCCTTCACCCAGAATCACGCAGGAGCTGGGTAAGACTGGAGCAGCACTTAGGAAATGAAGTTCCTCTAACTTCCCTTACATGTTGATTTTACTGTTTGATACAACACAGTGGTTTTTTCTCAATAACTTTGTCATGGAAGATTTCTAGGCACTGGCCAATGGCAACATCCCTAACTAAATTCGTGCAACTTAATTTCCTTAGGAAATACATCTAACATTTGTTGATGTAGAACTTGCTTACTGCAGTTCAGTGCAATGGAAACACAAACAGTATTGTTAATTAATCTGTTTGCAATTTTATTCTGGTTCACATCTCTAAGAAGTGTATCTCATAAGTCTTTGAATGTAGTAGCTATAAACCGGCCTTAAGCTTTCATGTTTATCCTAATTTGAGGCACTTTTCACAAAATATTTTATACCTGCTATACACTACTTATGATCAACTTAAATTTACAATTGTCATTCGAGATTTTTGCTTTTAAATTTTATTGTAATACATTAGCTTTGGAACTTTGACAACACGTTATTTGCCTCCTGTGGGGGTGCCTTGGTGTGCTGTAGGGTTCTGTGGTTGATATGATATAATCAGAGTGTGTGCTAAGATGTCCTATTGTGTCGAGAATTGGGGGGTTTTTGGTCTCACTAACTTCAAGAATGAAGCCACGGACCCTCGTGGTGAGTGTTACAGCTCTTAAGGTGGCACAGCTGGAGTTTGTTTCTTCATGATATTCGGATGCGTTAGGAGTTTGTTTCTTCTGGTGGGTTCGTGGTCTCACTGGTTCAGGAGTGAAGCCGCAGACCTTCGCGGTGAGTGTTACAGCTCTTAAGACAGCACGTCTGGAGTTGTTCGTTTCTCCTGGTGAGCTCATGGTCTCGCTGGCTTCAGAAGCAAAGCTGAAGACCTTCGCGGTGAGTGTTACAACTCTTAAAAGCAGTATGGACCCAAAAAGTGAGCAGTAGCAAGATTTATTGCAAAGAGCAAAAGAACAAAGCTCCCACAGTGTGGAATAGGACCCACAGCGGGTTGCCACTGCTGGCTCCGGCAGCCTGCTTTTATTCTCTTATCTGGCCCCACCCTCATCCTGCTGATTGGTAGAGCCCAGTGGTCTGTTTTGACAGGGCGCTGATTGGTGCGTTTACAATCCCTGAGCTAGACATAAAGGTTCTCCACGTCCCCACCAGATTAGCTAGATACACAGTGTCTGACACAAAGGTTCTCCAAGGCCCCACCAAAGTAGCTAGATACAGAGTGTCAATTGGTGCATTCACAAACCCTGAGCTAGACACAGTGTGCTGATTGGCGTATTTACAATCCCTGAGCTAGACATAAAGGTTCTCCACGTCCCCACCAGACTCAGGAGCCCAGCTGGCTTCACCCAGTGGATTCCGCACAGGGGCTGCAGGTGGAGCTGCCTGCCGGTCCCGCGCCGTGCGCCCCCACTCCTCAGCCCTTGGGTGGTCGACGGGACTGGGCGCCGTGGAGCAGGGGGCAGCGCTCACCGGGGAGGCTCGGGCACAGGAGCCCACGGAGGGGGTGGGCGGCTCAGGCATGGCGGGCTGCAGTCCCGAATCCTGCCCCGCGGGAAGGCAGCTAAGGCCCGGTGAGAAATCGAGAGCAGCGCCGGCGGGCTGGCACTGCTGGGGGACCCAGTACACCCTCCACAGCCACTGGCCCGGGTGCTAAGCCCCTCATTGCCCGGGGCCGGCAGGGCCGGCTGCTCCGAGTGCGGGGCCCGCCAAGCCCACGCCCACCCGGAACTCCAGCTGGCCCGCAAGCGCCGCGCGCAGCCCCGGTTCCCGCTCGCGCCTCTCCCTCCACACCTCCCTGCAAGCTGAGGGAGCCGGCTCCGGTCTTGGCCAGCCCAGAAAGAGGCTCCCAGGGTGCAGCGGTGGGCTGAAGGGCTCCTCAAGTGCCGCCAAAGTGGGAGTCCAGGCAGAGGAGGCGCCGAGAGGGAGCGAGGGCTGTGAGGACTGCCAGCACGCTGTCACCTCTCACTATCAGATGGAAGAACAAGGATCCAAGTCTTGACTGAGAGAATCTGAAAGCCATACATGTCAATTAACCTTCCCTCTCACAGCTTTGTCTGGGGCATTCAGCATGAAATTAACTATGACCTATATAGCTTGACTGTACTCCATCTCTAGATGTAAACCTCAATCAAATGTTTTTCTTTTGTGTAATGAAGACTAGCTTTTTGCAATGAATTTTACCTACCTGTTGGAAAGTAGGAAAGTTATTTTCTTACTTTTCAGAAAAAAAAATTCACTCCCAGTAGCTATGTATCTATTTATACATACAACATGATTAGAATATTTGAGAGGAATAGAAGTCTTCTTTTCTGCTTTTCCCCCCTTCCCTCAATAAATTCAGCTCCTTACACAACAGCTGCTTTTTATCTGATGATTTTTAGTTTATTCGTGTGTAGAAAGGGAATGCTATTTTGAGTGAGATTTGTGCTTCCTTATTAAGTCTGCTGCAATGATTACAAATGCTCTCCCTTAAGAAGGGGCGGGTGCCTTTTCAAGAGGTTGACCTGCTAAGTTCAAGGGATGTCCCCTCTCCCTTCTAGATCCCTGATCTCATTAAAATAACAGTTGTTAATTTTGATTTGTATTTTAGAGCTTCAGAAGGGAGTCTAGGCCAGTAACAGTGACTCACGCCTGTATCTAAGCACTTTAGGAAGCCAAGGCGGGTGGATCACCTGACGCTAGGAATTCAAAACCAGCCTGGCCAACATGGTGAAACCCCATCTCTACTAAAGATACAAATTAACCGGGTGTAGTCGCACACACCTGTAGTCCCAGCTACTCTGGAGTTTGAGACAGGAGAATCACTTGAACCTGGGAGGTGGAGGCTGCAGTGAGCTGAGATGGCACCACTGCACTCCAGCCTGAGCAAGACAGAGTGAGACTCCATCTCAAAAAAAGAAGGAAGTCTAACTACCCCAACTCTCTCACTATTCAGGTGAAGAATTGAACTCCAGAAACCAGGATGGCGGGATTGCTCAAGATCTCACAGGTGCTGAGTGTTTCTTATTTTACCACCTGTTGATTCTATATCTATAATTCTGAGTTATAGGTGCTCTATGTATGTAGGACGGATTATTTATGTAACTCTTTGACCTTTCTTCTAATGCATACAGGTGATCTAGTAAGGGCAGCCAGAGAAGAGTAAGCCATCAACCAACAGAACAAAGGCTCTTTACTTGGGGATTGCATAATAATAACCTCCACTGTCGATTAAGTTTCCTTGTCTAATGTGCTGCTGGTGGGATCAGCTCTGGTCACAGACCACTGTAGGAAACTGATGGAACAAATTCTAAATGCCCAAGGGAAAAATCAGGACCTGAAATGGAAAAGTAGTAGGAATACATGAGTGGATGCTTTTATCACCAATATCTGAGAAATTGTGCAATTCCCCGAGGACTTAATGTTAGGATAGCAGCATTTCTTAATACTTTAGGCTCTGCCTAGCATCTTAAGTACCTGAAATTCCTACTTTCTTCTACTTCCCTGAAGGAGCCCAAACAGGAAACATACCCTCAGAGTCCCACCAGTTATGACCCACCAACATACATATCACAAAGTCTACTGCAATTCACCCCGGTTGGAAACCTTGTTATAAGGGGTTATTAGAAATTATTTAAAAAGTACATTTGGTTTTGTTTTGAAAAAAAGTTTACAATACTTAATAGGCTTTTTCAAAGTACACTTAAGCCAAGATTCCAGTTAACCCCAGGCTCGCACTGATGGTTAAGAAAACAAGAGTTTGAATTTGCATTGTTTTCTGAAGCCCTTATTTCTTCTTGCTACCTTTTGATTTGATGGAGAAGATAAACTGAGTTTCCAGTTTTTAGGTGATTTTAAGAGGTTTTAAAAATATATTGCATTCAATCCATGATACTGAGCTTTTCATAGCCTCATTGTAAAAATGCCCAACTAGGCAAGTAAAGTGAAAAAAGAAAATTTGTTCAGATCAAGTCAAGTGAAAGTATTTTGTCAACCTTGGTAAGTTTTTTCCTTTTTTCTCTTTTATGCATATTCTTTCCTACAAACTCTCAATTCCAGAAAATTCTTTTTCCTAGAATAATCCAGCTTGTCTGGAAGTGAACTGCACTTAAGACATTGGTATTGCTGCCAAGAAAAAAGGATCCCATGCTGAGCTAAGGAAGAATAATAATGAAGGGACAGCATGATAAACCATCGACTGACCGCAAAATGAAGCAGGCTTATTTCCTGCAGGTTTTTTCCATGGTTTTAGTCAGTTTTCCTTTATTGTGACTTTGCTGGGGGACGGGGTGGATAATCCATGCAAAGTGTTTCCAATTTAATTGGCCAAAGAGTATTTCTTCAAGAAATATCTTAAAGATGCAGTGTTTAGCAGAATAATGTTGAGAAAGCTGTCAACAACCCCTTCACAACTCGGCATCCTATTTTTTGTATTCATGCTTTACATTTGTGCTGTTTAATTTTTTTAATCTTTGTGTTTAATCTCCTCTTCTAAGTGTAAGTGATTTCCTGACACCCATTTTTTTTACACCCCTGGAATAATGTATATTCGTCAGTTTCAGAATCCTAAATGGTGTAAGAAAATCAGGTAGATTCAACATTTTAAAACATGCTGGTTGGTTATTTCCACTTTGTCTTTTGTGAACTCCCTGATCATTTTGTTTCTAGGTTTTTTTTAACTCTACACATTAAAATATAATTCAAAATGTGGCAATAGTTATATATAGAGAAGTGAATATATCAGCATTTATAATAAAAAAAGTAAACAAACACATGCATGCATTAGGTATTTGTCCTAATACCCTCCCTCCTGTCTGCCCTCAACCCCTACAGGCGCTGGTTGTGCTATTCCTCTCCCTGTGTCCATGCGTTCTTCCCCTCCCTGTGTCCATGTGTTCTCACTATTCAACTCCCACTTATGTGTGAAAACATGTGGTATTTGCTTTTCTGTTTCTGTGTTAGTTTGCTGAGTTTGAAGGCTTCCAGCTTCATCTATGTCTGTGCAAAGGACGTGATCTCATTCTTTTTTATGGCTGCATAGTATTCCATGCCACATTTTCTTTGTTCAGTCTAACATTGATGGGCATTTTGGTTGGTTCCAAGTCTTTGCTATTGTAAATAGTGTTGCAATAAACATACATCTGCATGTGTCTTTATAGTAGAATGATTTTTAATCATTTGGGTATATACTCAGTAATGGGATTGCTGGGTCAAATGGTATTTCTGGTTCTTGGTCCTTGAGAAATCACCACATTGTCTTCTACAATGGTTGAACTAATTTACACTCTTGCCAACGGTGCAGAAGCATTCCTATTTCTCCACACCCTCACCAGCATCTATTGTTTCCTGACTTTTTAATAATTGTCGTTCTGACTGGCATGAGATGGTATCTCATTGTGGTTTTGATTTGAATTTCTATAATGATCAGTGATGATGAGCTTTTTTTCATATGTTTGTTGGCTGCATAAATGTCTTCTTTTGAGAAGTGCCTGTTCATATCCTTTGCCCACTTTTTGATGGGGTTGTTTTTTTCTTGTAAATTTGTTTAAGTTCCTTATAGATTCTGGATATTAGACCTTTGTCAGATGGGTAGATGGCAAAAATTTTCTCCCATTCCTTAGGTTACTTGTTCACTCTGATGCTAGTTTCTTTTGCTGTCCAGATGCTCCTTAGTTTAATTAGATTCCATTTGTCAATTTTGGCTTTTGTTGCAATTGCTTTTGGTGTTTTAGTCATGAAGTCTTTGCCCATGCCTATGTCCTGAATGGTATTGCCTAGGTTTTCTTCTAGGGTTTTTATGGTTTTGGGTTTTCCCCTAAGTCTTTAATCCATCTTGAGTTAATTTTTGTGTCAGTTGTAAGGAAAGAGTCCAGTTTCAGTTCTCTGCATATGGCTAGCCAGTTTTCCCAGCACCATTTATGAAATATGGTATCCTTTCCCCATTGCTTGTTTTTGTCAGGTTTGTCAAAGATCAGATGGTTGTAGATTTGTGGTGTTATTTCTGAGGTCTCTGTTCTGTTCTATTGGTCTATACATCTGTTTTGGTACCAATACCATGCTGTTTTGGTTATTGCAGCCTTGTATATAGTTTGAAGTAAGGTAGCATGATGCCTCCAGTTTTTTTCTTTTGCTTAGGATTGTCTTGGCTATACAGGCTTTTTTTTTGGTTCTATATGAAATTTATAGTAGTTTTTTTTTTCTAACTCTGTGAAGAAAGTCAGTGGTAGCTTGATGGGAATAGCATCAAGTCTATAAATTACTTTGGGCAGTATGGCCATTTTCATAATATTGATTCTTCCTGTCTGTAAGCATGGAATGTTTTTTCCATTTGTTTGTGTCCTCTCTTATTTCTTTGAGCAGTGGTGTGTAGTTCTCCTTGAAGCGGTCCTTCAGTCCCTTGTAAGTTGTATTCCTAGGAATTTTATTCTCTTTGTAGCAATTGTGAATGGGAGTTTTTTCACGGTTTGGCTCTTTGCTTGTCTATTATTGTTGGTGTATAGGAATGCTTGTGATTTTTGCACATTGATTTTGTATCCTGAGACTTTGCTGAAGTTGCTTATCAGCTTAAGGAGTTTGGGGGCTGAGACAATGGGATTTTCTTAATTTAGAATCAAGTCATCTGCAAACAGAGTCAATTTGATTTCCTCTCTTCCTGTTTTAATACTCCTTATTTCTTTCTTTTGCCTGATTGCCCTGGCCAGAATTTCCAATACTATGTCGAACAGGAGTGCTGAGAGAGGGCATCCTGGTCTTGTGCCAGTTTTCAAAGGGAATGCTTCCAGCTTTTGCCCATTCAGTATAATTCGTCTACTGTTATTTTAATTAGTCAGCAATATACGAATCATTTTAAACTTCCCCCACTTGACATTTCCTTCACAATCAGGGAAGAGAAGATAATTGGAGCAGTATAATAATTCGGAAGGACTTTCTTTAACATTTTGTTTGTTGCTATGTTAAGAACATAAAACTGGCTCAAGTATTTAGGGCAACATAAATTCTTCAAATCTAGCTAAGCTTAAGGGAGCATAAATTATAATTTAATATATTCCCAGTCTTACTTGATTTTCTTCCAAGCATATTAAAAAGAATGGTTGAAAAAATAATTTCTGCTCTCTTCTTCCAAATAATAATTCAAAAACCAAACCAGAACCAATTTCAAAACTTTAGGAGAACACACGTGAGTTTATACTTAACTTCTAATGATAAAAGTTAACCAAGAACAATGCTATAGAGTTTCTTGATTCATTTCAATATCTTCTAAACCTAAAACTAGAATAGAATTTGGGTTATATGAATGAAAATTCCTTTCAGTTTTAAAAGCAATTATTACAGAAAATCATAAACTTCTCTGAAATTCTGTTTTAACTTTTCTCTTGTTTTTTAAAATTTGTGTATCTTCCATGAAACATGTCTACTTTAGTGAAAGGCACTTATAATTGGGATTTTGAAGAGTCATCACAAGGATTGATAGCTTTCATTGTATTGTTGCTGAGAGATGGCTAAAGCCTTTCCATTTGAAATCATTCCTTACATGAGACTAGAAAAGTGGTTTATTCAATAATGTAAAGGGAAACCTATACTTTGAAAGATGAGAGCAATCAGTGGCTGTGTTAGGTTGGGGGCAATTCCATTCCTTGCAATTTCTGCAACAAAATTTGTGTGGTCTTAAAAAGTCTGTGCAATAACTCAGATGTTTAACTTAAGATATAATTTTAATTATTGGTGGCACTCTTTTCAAGTGATTTTTAAACTGTGTAAATAAACTGTATAACAACAAATTTGTCATGGTCTGTGCTGGTTATCAATTTACTGCATCTGGTCTGTAAATCCACCTTTGAGTACCAGCTCTGTGATAATGTACTGAACTCTCTAAGCATCTCTCCTATACAGGGACCACTATGTAAAGCTTGGTCAGAATTGGGTGCTGTAGGGGCATTGTAGGAGAAAGGGAGATTTCCTTCCTGGTTCTGTCGGGCCTTATTTTGTTTTCTCATACTTCTGCAACACAGTTAGTCAATATGGTATGTGGGTAGAGACATCAGACACAGAGGGCACAGTTCCTCAGTGACTTTACAACCTTGGCCTGGGCTTGGAAATTCCCTTGCCTACAGGCTGTCTACATGCTTGAGGCCTAGAAACTGCAGGGTCACACCAATGTCCTCTAAGAAACCGTCCACCAACTTTGACTCTTCGACAGCTTTCCTATGGCTCTGAAAGTTGCAGCAACCTCTGCTTGCCTGCAATCCAGAGGGTTGTTTTCTGTTTTCCTCCCAAAACGGCTGTCACTTGCTCCTCCTGGTCTCACACTTGCAGCGGCAGCCCTACTCTCTTTGTGTGTCTGCCTGTCAGCCTCAGCGTCCTTATACCCTGAAAATTTTACTTCTGCTTATTCTCTGGCCTAGGAAAACCAGCAAACTTCTTTGCCTTCCAATGGACATAAAGCACATCTCCTCCAATGAGGTTGGAGCCTCAGCTTTGGGAGAGACTCCACTTCCAACTTTGTCCTCCCTTGAATACTCTCACTCATCCCTAGAGAACCCTTCAGAGTTCGATGTATATTTCTGTAGTAACTTTTATCATAATTAAATAATGTTTCACGTTAAACTTCATCTTTTCAAATTACTGTGTGATATCTTTCTCCTGATTGGATCCTGACCTATAGATACTCTAAAAAGATATCAAGCTCCTATTCCTAGAGAAACACCACATTCTGTAACAGATACATCTTTTATTTTGTCATCTCATCCACAATTCAAATACTGGATCTATCCTGCAGGGTCACCTTGGATAATTTAATTAACTTCTCATAGCCTTATACTTACAACCCACGAAGATGTGAAGATGGAACACTTTCATGCATTTGGGATGCTAGTGCAGTGATTATTACATAGTATGTGCTAAATAAGTGTAGATAACATATTAGCTAAAGGTATTTAAATGTAAATCAAATTACAAGAAATAAAATTCTATGGAGATTTTTGTATCGTAAAGTTTATTGTTAAATCTATAAGTAGTATACCTCCCTTAACTAGTTTAGCTACCATATATATAAGATTTCTCTTATATTACAAATCTACTAAAAGTTCCTTAAGGCATTTTACAGACACCAATACTGACTGAATTGAATAGTAATTGATTATGAGATTTTTTTTAGCCTTCATATGGATACTAATAATAAGAAGGAAAGATATGATAGTATCAATCAAATGATAGATGATTCTGGGAATTTTATGCTTTTCCCTGAAGGAGGGAGGCCTAAAAACTTCAGGGATAATGTTGGGCAAAAATGACTAATGCAAACAAAAAAAAATATCCTACAAACATAACTGACCAAACTTTGAAGACGTCTCACAACTATCCATTGGCAGATCTGGAATTAGACTCCTGTTTTCCCGAGTCCAGTTCAGTTTGTTTCGAGACTAATTCAGACATGAGAGTGGTTATGCAATGGTGTAGACAGTTAAGAGTGATTATAAGGTATTTCTCCACTTGGAAGCCCTTTGAATAAATTACATTCTGGTTTAAACAACAGATTATAGCTGAAATCATATCTAGAAGAAAAGGATTAAAACACCAAGGTCCAAGCAAACGAGGCATCTCCATTTTTGAAACTTGTTATTGGGTATAATTTAAAGTGAGTCCATATTATGTAAAAATGTGTATTACACAACATATAACCAAATTAAACTTAAATCATTTGCTAGTATGTTAACTGATGTGCGCTTATACTGCCGACATTTTGGGTTTCAGAACTGATTAATCCTAAATAGTGGTAGTCTTATTGATTACCTGAGCTATGTTTCTTACCCCGCCTCCCAACTATACTGCCCTGCGTGGCTATACTAAAATGAAAAGAGCTAATACAGAACTTTAATTTGTGATCTAATATTTTTCCACATTCAGAAGCAGGGCAATAAATGATAAAAAGAAAAATTACTACTAGGAAACATTCAATCCAGAAGTTTGTTATATGTCTGAGAAGAACATTTTATCTAATAAAAGTTTTTGAACAAGACTAAAAAAATACCAGGAAAAAATTAGCAGAAAAAAACCTGTAGGAGTGGGACAAACTAGATGACTTTCTTGTGACTAATTTCTCTAAAAGTGAAGATATGCAAATAAAAAGAACCTTGCAATGTAGGCCAACCAGTCTCAATAGTCATTAACCCAACATATTAAGTGTTATGGAGACAGCAGTCTGAAAAAGCAGAAAGAAAATAGACTGTAAAATACGTAGTCTCTATCCTGCTGAATCTTATTTTTTCCATCTGTGTGATGGGAGTATTATAAGCTTTGTAAGATTTTTCTGGAGATTAAATAAAATAACATATGTTAAAAGCCTCTACCACTTCTCCTACCCACAGATCATATGTAAGGCGTTACAGACACTAAATAAAGAAGAATAATTAATAAATATAGAGTGAGACATTAAATATATGTTTAAAGTTTAAGATCAGAAAAAACCAAAATGAGTAATGGCTTATAAAACTACTAAATAAGTGTGGATGTACTTTTTAAGTCGTGAAGTGCTAATAAAATATTAGTTCTCATTATAATAATGGTATTTTATTGTCTTATAGAATATCATTGTCAGAAATCACCTGAAAAGTCAAAACTAAAATAATCAATCAAATGTCCATTATTTTAACGACTCTATTGCTTTAAAAATAATAGAAAAACATGAACATAGTGGTCATATGTGTCATTAGTTTGAGTGAACTAGATTTTCTATAGAAATAAGTAATAAGGACATAACTAACACTTTTTTTCTTTTTGGTGTTTTGGATTCGTATGTAGTAGAGACAGAAGAAATAGATGGTCTTAGTAGCTCTTCTCCAAATCTTTCTAGTGTCTGTTTGACAGAAATTCAAAATTGTGTCTCAAATAGAGAATATGTGGCTCATACAATTCTAGCTCCATTCATTCATTCATTCGTAGATGTTTATTGACCATGTGTTAGATATTGGAGAGATACCAGTGCCCAAAACAAAGTCCCTACCTGCGTAAAGCTTGCATCCCAGTGTAAAGGGTCAGGGAGAAGGTAGGAAGTGGGTCAAAGTTCAGGATAAAATGTGCTCAACCAGATGAAGGCTAATAGTAGAGGACATTGAGCAGCAGTTTGTACTTGTTTGAAAGCAAATGAATGAAGTAAAATATCTCCAGACATCTAAGAACAAAGAAAGATTATTGCATCTTCTCATTTCCATCTCTTACCCTGATAAATCCAAAGCATGCACTTAGTGGTGAATCAGCCTCTTTGCAGAAGAGTCCTTTTTGCTTTACATCCCTGCCCAATCAAGCTTGTTTCTAACAAATGTATTAGAGGATTGCAAGCACATGCATTTCCACTCTTATTTTCTTCTAATGATGGGATAAAACAAGAAAGAATTGCCTTGTAATAAGGTGCATTGTCCAATTTCGAGTGATATGGTGTTGGCATCAAAGAGTCCTTTTGTTCATTACATGTGTCCGCCTACACTGCAACACCTGGATAAGGGTGGGAACTTTCAAGCAGCTTCACAGAGAGATAAACCTCAATCAATTTACTCTAGAAATATTTGCATATTTCCCACTGCTAATGAAATCACCGCTAGCAGAATGTTTCCATTTTAATAACATTTCAAATTTCATATAGATGTGTCTTGCCTTTAGTGAGACCTTGAAATATTTTAAAAGAATATTGAGTAAAAATATACTGTTTTATGGAATATTGGGAGAATACCGGGAAGAGAAATCTGTTTAAAAATCTAATTGATTCTACAACCAGATTATTTATCACTTTCTTTTTTTTTCAATTCTACCATAAAATAGAGAGCCAGGTATTCATCTGAAAACTGAAGTCGGTTGACGTAGAAGTTCTTTTTATGAGAAAATAGAATAAAAGATGATTGTCCAAAGTAGTCGGAACACAAGAAGGAACACTCTGTAGAAGACAAATTACGTAAGCCAGAGATACCCCAAGTGTGCCACAAGGCTTGCCTGCTTTGAGAGAGAGGAGAGTTTAATGTAGAGAGATCAGAAAAAACTATGGAGAACAGAATGGAGTTTCCCCGAAACACCACAAGAACTCCCATATGATCCAGCAATCTCACTGCTGGGCATTTATCCAAAGGAAAGGAAATCCATTTATGGAGGAGACATCTGCACCCCCATGTTTATAGCAGCACTATTCACAATAGCCAAGATATGGGATCAACCTAGGTGTCCAACAGCAGATGGATGGATACAGAAAAGGTGGTATATATTATACACAATAGAATACTATTCAGGCATTAAAAAGAAAAAAAATCCTCTCATTTGTGGCAACATAGTGAGAACCAGAGGATATTATGTTAAGTGAAATAAATCAGACACAGAAAGTGAAACACCACATGTTCTCACTCATTCGTGGAAGCTAAAAAAAGGTGATCTCATAGAAGTAAAAAGTAGAACAGAGGATACTAGAGGCTGGGAAGAGTAGGGGGAAAGGAGCATAGGGAAAAATTTTCTTAAAGGATACAAAACCATAACTAGATGGAAAGAATAGGTTCTAGTGTTGTATAGCACTGTAGGATGACTCCAGTTAACATTAATATATAGTTTCAAATAGATACGAGGAGGTTATTAAATGTTCCCAACACCAAGGATGATAAATGTCTGAGATGGTGAATATGCTATTTTTCTGATATGACCACTCTGTAGGATCTGTATCAAAACATCACTATGGACCCCATGAATATGTACAATTATTATTTGTCAATTTAAAAACTCAGTATGTAATATTTTGTCCCAATGTGCTTATCTACAGAAAATCATATCCACACATGTATAAAAATAATTTTTAAATAAACATAGACTTTCTTGTATTTTTTCATGGATAGAGCAAATGAAGTCTTGATTTTTGAAAGGCATGTTATTTATGTTTATGCCAAAACTATTGTAGCTCCGTAAATTAGATTACTCTCTAGATAGTAAAGACTCAGATGAAACACTGACAGGGAATTGATTTTGTAAATAAAAACACTAAAATTTTAGCCTTCAATATTTTGAAACGTTGTTACTATCAAGTGATTTGTATATTTAAAAACACATGGGGCTATCTTCTAGTTAAAGTTAACATTATTCTTTGATATTTAGGCAAAGCTCAAATAAAGGCATTGCTACTGCTGATGTGATCATCTTTACTATGTTCACTATTCAATGATGACATGTTATTCCTGGGAGTAAATAATTTTAGCCACCTTGTATTCAATTTCATAATGTAAGCGGAATACTGTAAAACATTGTGATCTGGTGTCACTTGCAAATTATATGTTTAGAATCGTTCAAAATAGCAAAGTATATTATTATAGCTGCATATTTCTGTAAAGTTTTCTTTACTTGTGCAATATGAACTTTACCTGAGATGGGTTATTACTAGATTTTTGGTTGA